>NC_000010.11:88476428-88779458 GCF_000001405.40 Homo sapiens
ACACCAAGGAGCTATTCTTTTATCCATGCTGTATACCCTTTAATCTTGATGCATATTATGAGGACGGGGACAACAGAGTAAATAAAAAGCTTTTCCCTCTAAAAAGTAGAATAATGGGTACATGACTTATTGAAAAGCAACATTCCTTTATCTTATTCATCAAAGGCACTTTATACACAAACAATCTTGTAATATTTCAAAGCAGAAGTCAGGACAAAATATAAACTACCTCACTAAGTTGATGTTTTAAAAGAACACATGGTCAACAGGAAGCCCCTTTCCCAAAAATATATGTATTTAGCAATAATAAAACAATGGTCAAATTCTTTTCATTATCTCTTTTTAAAAAACCTTCATGAAAGGGTTGAGAGGTAGTTCAGAAGGGCCTGTTTTCCACTCTTCATTTAGCAGGGTGCTGATGTTCATAAAACATGCAAACCCAAACAGCAAAGTCAATGTTGTTCTTATGCAACAAGGCCTGCTGAATTCAAATTTAATTAAATTTATTTAAACAGAGATAAGCTTGTAAATGCTTTATGCTGTGCAGTTTTGCCACAAAAAGTAAGAAAGCGATAATAGTGTGGCCTTTTTTTTTCAAGCAGTTGATCTGCTATATTATAAATGAAACTCAAATTCTTGGATTAACCCAAAACAAGAGTAATTCAAGCAAATTATATTTTTGTATCAATATCATTAAATAATAGATACTATCTATTATTAGAACAAGAACTGGAAAATGGTACAGTGTGACTAAGCTAACAATAACCATTCAAAGACTGTTCCATGTGTACATCTGCCCTATGGAGAAAGTGCAAAGTGCTGATATTCAGGACTTGCTCACAGAAAAACTGACGAAGGAACAACAAAGCAGGTGCCTTGATGGTATGAGCAAGATGATAAGGATGATGGTGAAGTTAGGGATGAAGGTGACAATGGGATGTCAGTTATGATGGTGATGACCGGGATGACAGGGAAGGAGAGAAAGATGGTGAAGACAGAGATAATGATGATGGGGATGACAGCGATGGTGGGGATGACAATGGGGAAGAGGATGATGGTGACAACAGCAACGCTGATGTAAACACTGACAATTGTGATGATGGTGAAGACAGGGATGATGGTGAAACAAGGATGGCAACGATGACAAGGATGATAGTGATGACAGGGATGACAGAAATTTGAAGACTGTGGAAGACAATAACAGTGGTATGTGACAGATAACACTGATCATCTTCTGTGTGCTTGACACTAGGCTAAAGGCTTCACATGCATCATCCCCCTTAATTTCCATGACCTTCCTATGAGGTGGGTGCTATCATGATCTTTGTTTCACATCTAAGAAGCTTCAGAATGATAGAGGGTAAGTATTTTGCCAAGTTCACACAGCTGTCCAGAGCAGGAGCTGATATGGCCCAAGTTCTGCCTGACTCTAGAGGACACACTGTTCATTACTAAGCTATGACACCAACTACTATGCAATACTAGCTGGAGGTTCACAGTATGTGTCTGTTGAATGCAATCATGCATGGAATCTTATGAGGCCATATGGCCCAGTGCCTATTTCAGATAGATTAACATTTATCCTGGATAGATTTTTATCTGGTAACTTCTTAAAAGTAAAGAATTATTAAAACTTAAGATTAGCTGTCTCAGGACCTACTGTGGATTGAAGTCAACTATCAACAAGGACTTTAAAATCCATTCCAAAATGGCTCTCATGTTATCTTTCAAACATTTAAAAAACATTTACTTTCTCCTACCTAAATGCATTCCTTGTCCCAGTTTCTTGGTGCCAGTTATTCTAATCTCCCAAGTTTCTTAGGCTTGAAAACGCGAGCCCATCTGACTCCCCACTTTCTCTTATTCCTTCTATCCAGTTAGTATCTGATATTTGGTAATATGTCTTCAACATTTCTGTCAGATTCATCATTTCATTTTTAGGCCCACTCCTAGCTTGCCAGTATTTTATCACCTCAGGGCCAATTGCTAATTTTAACCAGATGGCTGGGTTTCATTATGACACATGATCCCTCACTACCTATCATCTCAAGTTCAAATACCTCACTCTGTTATTAAAGATCCCTTTATATGTGGCCCTACCTTATCCCACATATACCTCTAGTCATCAAAGCATGCCTGGGCAGGTTGGTATACTTGAAGTCTCTCCACTGTCCCCCCAGATAAAAAATAAACCCACAAGACACAGGGCTTATCCATCCTCAACTGCCCTTTCCAGCTTCCGTTCACTCGAAATATGCTCTGCTCATTCCCATACAACTTATAATATACTCTGTACCATTTTCTGGCACACAAACCCATCACTTTAAGGATACTGAAGCTACTTGTTCAAACTGGTTCAAAATGACTTTTCCCTTTTCCTGACTTCACATAGCCTTAACTAATTTACCTTTTTTTCTTTTTCCTTCTTTCTTTCATTTCTTTCTTTCTCTTTCTTTCTTTCTTTCTCTTTCTTTCTTTCTCTCTCTCTCTCTTTCTGTCTGTCTCTCAAGCCATGCTGAGGAGCCCAAGTACCTGGGTTTGAATCCTAGTTCTGTCATTAACTAGGTACTATTTCTTCATCTGTAAGATGAGGATGATAGTAGCTACTTCATAGGGTTGTTGTGAAGACTAAATGAACATATAGTGATCAACAATCATTTGCTAAAACTATTATAGAACATTAAATATGTTTCAGTCTTGTTTCTTCTTTGTATATCCTAGCATGGCATCTGAAAACATATTAAGCATATAACAGGTATTCAACAACCTCTTGTTGCCTTTAATTATATCAGAGCGAAAAGTCAATGGCTTTGCTTTGAGGCCAATATTCCCTTACTTGGATCATGAAGCATCGTTACATAGAATTCCTATAATTTTAGGAAGACAAATAAACCTTGGCAGCTAGAGTGTTGCAAATCATTTTCATGTTTCCACCTGAAGCAGTAAGTAGGACACATTTTAATAGCACTGTTTTCATCTGAGGAAAATTATATACAGTTTTCTATTCTGAAAAATGGAGCTAATTTAAGTATTCACCACATAATATGATTATGAAGTTAAATAAGACAACCCATGTAAATGGTAAGCATTAGTCCTCTATAAATATTAGTGTCAATTTTAGAAATATCAGTATCATCATCATCATCATCATCATTGGATTTGTCTAAGCAAAGACGACCTTGAACTAGAAATAACAGCTGTTGATTCTTAGCCTAGTTTTAAAAATTATGCTGCCATCTCTTAGCCTTTCCCATTTTCAGAAAAGTAACCCAAATTCCTTTTATTTGCCCTTTTGAAGGACCTATTTTCCATTCATGACTTTTTCATATCAGCCATTCTTCTCTGGACTTTCTTTTCTTTTTTTCTTTTTTTTTTTTTTTAAGTTCCTACTTTCTAAAAGGTATAGTAGAAAAAAATCCAGATGCAACATATGAATACAAATTTACCAAAAGATCATAATAAAAAGATTCTTCCTTAAAACTTGTATGTCACACTCTTTTTAAATAAACTCTTGCATTGTATTAGTTCTCTGCACAAGCTCACATTCATCAAGTGTTTGCCTATTAGTTTGAGCTCTTTCTGTGAAACTTAAACTTACTCAGTCTTGGTCTATCATATTCTTAAATTACTGAGTTTTTGCATTGTACTTGGCTTGCCAGAACTTCATCTAATTTGCATAGGCCTATTTTCCTATTTAATAACATATTTTAAATTTTACTTCTACCTTTGAGACAATCTTAGAAATGTCACCTCATACAGGACCTTTAACTCTAGTAAGCATATTCCACGTTCCTTTACCTAGGTAATCAATTAAGTACAAGTTCTTAGACATAGCTTTAGGCTGAATTTGAGAGGTTCTTCAAAGTTGAAAACCTCTGATAATTACCCCTTAGGGGAAATCTTTAGTCTAATTTATTGTTTCCTGAGATTCTTATAAGATCATAAGTCAAGTTTCTCCTTCCCTAAGATTTATGGGAAACTACAGTCAAATTCATACTTTTCTTTTTTTTGAGACGGAGTCTCACTCTTGTTGCCTAGGCGGGAGTGCAATGGTGCAACCTTGGCTCACTACAACCTCTGCCTCCCGGCTTCAAGCGATTCTCCTGCCTCAGCCTCCCAAGTAGCTGGGATTACAGGCATGCGTCACCACGCCCAGCTAATTTTGTATTTTTTAGTAGAGATGGAGTTTCTCCATGTTGATCAGGCTGGTTTCGAACTCCCGACCTCAGGTGATCCACCAGCCTTGGCCTCCCAAAGTGCTGGCATTACAGGCATGAGCCACTGTGCCCGGCCAAACCAAATTCATACTTTTCTAAAATTCTTATGGAACTGCATTAGTACTGTTTATTCCTGTGTCTTTGTGTGTGTGTGTGTGTGTGTGTGTGTGTGTGTATGTGTTCTATTACAAATGGAATTTATATCTGTCTGGTATAATATTATTTTACAAAGATATGACTAGTGACAACCAAATATTTTATGTTTTTTAGTTGACTGAAATTAATCAATTCAGTTCCATGATTTGTTCTATTTCTCTTTTCGATTTTGTCAGTTTTTGCTTCATGTATTTTGGGGCTCTATTGCCAGGTGTGTTTATATTTATAATTTTTGTATATTCCTGGTTTATTGACCCTTTATCATAAAATAGCCCTCTATAGCATATTTCTTGTCTTAAAGTCTATTTTATCTGGTAACAGTATAGCCACTACAGCTTTCTTATGGTTACTGTTTGCATAATATATCTTTTTCTATCTACTTACTTTTAACTAGTGTCTTTGAATCTAAATTGTATATCTGTAGACAGCATTTTGGTTAGATCTTGCTTTTTAAAATCCAGTTTGTCAACCTCTGTCTTCTGACTGAGATGTTTAGGCCATTCACATTTAATTATCATGGCTGGACTTACATTTTCCATTTTGCTATTTGTTTTCTAAGCCTCTTGTGTTTTTTTGTTTTTCTATCCCTTCTTTACTGCCTTTTTTGTGTTAAGTGTATTTTTAGTGTACCATTTTAATTCCTATATTGATTTTCTAAATTTATTTGGAATTATTTTCTTAATGGATGCTTTAGCAATTACAATATGCATCCTGACTTATCACAATCAACTGCAGACTAATAATAAATAATTGTCGTGAAACATAGAAAATCTGCTCATTTGTAGCTCCATCCTCTCCCCATTTCTTGCAGTATTACTGTCATATAAATTACATATATGTATGTAAACTTAACGATAATATACTCAGTAATAATTATAATAACTGCTTTATGAAATCCTATGTATTTTAAAGAAGTTACTATGTGAGAAAAAAATACAGAGCCTTTTATATTATTAACCTACATATCTACCATTTCCATTGCTTTTCATTTTTTTTCTGTGAATTTGAGTTATCTTTTGGTGTCACTTACTTTTAGCCTGAAAGACTTCCTTTGGTATTCTCATAAGACAGGTCTGTTAGCAATGGATTCCTGTCTTTTTAAAAATTTGGTCATGTCTTTATTTCACCTCCACTTTTTCAAGGCTAGTTTTAATGAATATAGAATTCTTCGTTGATTTTTTTTTCTTCCAGTATCTTTCAAATGAGAAATCAGTCATTAATTGCATAAATTCCTCTCTATGTCATGAGCTGTTTTATCTCTTGCTGCTTTCAAGATTTTCTCATTTTCTTTGGCTCTCAACAGTTTGACTGTTGTGTGTCGAGATGTGGATGGTTTTGTGTTCATACTACTTAGGGTTAATTGGGTTTCTTGTATCTGTAATGTTGGCTTTCAAATTTGGCAACTCTTTGGCCATTACTTCATCACACTTTGTTTTTTCTCTACTGCTTTCTCTCCTTATAAGACTCCTATTACGTCTATGTTGGTACACTCAATGTTGTCCCACTGCTCTGCAAGGCTCTGCTCATTTTCCTTCAGTCTTTTTCTCTGTGTTCTCCAGGTTGAATAATTTCTATTGATTTGTCTCAAGTTAACTGATTCTCTCTCCTATCATCTCAAATCTGCTACTGAGAGACTCTAGTGACTTTTTCATTTCAGGTCCTGTATTTTCAGCTCCAGAGTTTCCATTTAATTCTTTTTTCTTTTTATAACTTATATCCCCTCATTGAGATTTATTACTTGTTGAGTCACGTTGTCATAATTTCCTATAATTCTTTAAATCTGAATTTTAGTTCTTTGAACATGCTTATAATAGCTGCTTTGAAGTCCTTGTCTACAAAATCTAACATTTGGGGATCCTCAGAGGCAATTTCTATGATAATTTTTTCCTTGGTTACACTTTCTAGTTTCTTTGCATGTCTCTGAATTTTTGTTAAAAATTGAACATTTTAGGTAATATATTGTAGAAACTCTGGAGTACAACCTTTTCCCTGAAAGTAGTTGTTGTTTTTTATTGTTGCCATTTGTTTTTTGTTTAGTAACCTGCCAGGGCTAAATCTGTGAAATCTGTCTCCCTGTGGGGTGTAGCCGCTGATATCCCTGCTCAGTTTTCCTTCCCTTCCTTCCTTCCCTCCCTCACTCCTTCCTTCCTCCCTTTCTCCTTCTTTTCCTTCCTCCATCCCTTTCTTCCTTTTTGTAGAGACAGGGTCTTGCTATATCTTTTTAAAATTCTTATTGTAATTTTTAAACCTGGATTCCTACAGGTTACCCTTCTGACTGTATAGTTTAATGGGCAGCCAATGATTGGACTAAGGTTGTGCTCCTACATCTTGAGCCAGTAAAGCATTCATCCTCTGGAAGCTTTCATATATTCAAAATTTAGCAGTTTTTCAAGGATAAAGTTTATCAGATTATCATATGCCTCTGTCTGATTCCATAGCTGTTAAATGGTTATTTTTGTCAGTTTTTTCTGGCTTTACAACCCCTTTTGGGAAAAGCATCTTCAAGCCCATCCCTTGGCCACAGCCAGTAGTCTCTGAGCTCAGGGTCTTGACTTTGTACCTTTATATTCCAGGCCTTAGCACACAGTAGACTCTCAGTAAATGCTGGCAAAATTTCTCTTTTTTATTTCCTTTTCCTAAGCCCGATAAATTTCCTAAAATCCGCTTGGCAAATTTTCTTGTTAACTGTGATTTTTCAATTGATGGCTACTAATTTTGTAATAACATTTACAAATTTCATAATTGTCATATGATGTATGTCATAGACCTTGTTTACTTGAATAATTTTAGTCTTTCTTGGTACTCTTAATTATTTCTTCTATTATAGAAGTTGCGTTTTTTATATTTCTGTTTCTCAAAGACCAAATGCCATTTTTTCTTGACAATTTCTGGTTTCCATTTCTTTGCTTGCTATATTTTGTTCACACTTCTTTCCAGAGAATCAATAACCTCATACCACATATTTTGTATTAAAAAAACCCTTCATATTTTGTACTGTGGAAGTAATTTTACTCAAAATTACATTACAAAAGAACCTTACAAATTGGTAGTAGTAACTGAGACTCTTTTGCAGATTACCTAATTTTGAAAATTATTTAGTGAATATAATAAAGATAATTAAGGATATTGTATCACAGTATGTATTCACTTTATTTATTGTACCCAAGATAACATAGTGTTAGTTATGTCTTACTGAAGATGCTCTTGTGAATAACGTAATTTATTATAACACACGATTCTGAAAAGTCATATCTTGGTAACACAATACTTCAGCTATAACTCATATCAAGTCTTTGACAAGATGAAATCCGAAAACAAATTTTTGTAAAAATTATTAATCTTAAGGATGAAGGATGCATAACACAAAAATTCATGAGGGTTTTAGTAATAGCTTATTTTAATCTCAACAGCTACCAAACCAACTTTATTAGATAATTTAACCAATTTCATAATTCTAAATCTTTTATAATGACAAATTCTTCAAAAAGATAGGCTTCCTTCTTGAGAAATGTACTTCACATATGTTCTGAGTATTCATGGATTAAACACATTAACAGATTTAGAAGGCAGAATCTGATATTTAAATGTGCATGTTTGTACTTTCCCACTATTATCAATCCTCACTCATCTATGATAATGAGGAACACAGAATGGGGACAGGAAGGATAAGTGAAATCCCTAAACACAGCATTCAATATCTTTTTCCATAAAAGTTTTTAATAACAAGGGGAAAAAGAACTTATGAGTTCAGTCTCATTTCTTCTCCCCACTCCTAGCTACTACAGAAGATTATAATGAGAAGAGTAAGTGCCACAAGACAGAAAAATGGAAGAAGAGAAAAAACAAAGTGCCTGGATAATATATAGAGCAGTTAATGATTTCATGAATAATTTATTTATCAACACCACTTTTCTAAACTTTCCATCTATCACTTTTTCATTAGTAACTGAAGGTAGAGGTAAATAGCACACCCTTAAATTTATTAGGTCTTCTTTAAAGTTGGACTGCCAGACAGAGAAAAAAAATACAAGACATTTAAAGTATGGCAAAACTTTAAAATAGTCAGTTGAGGCATTTATCTCCATGTATTTATATCTTCAATTTTGCTTAGCAATTTTGTTTGTTTGTTTGTTTCAGTGTATATATCTCATATATTTTGTCAGAATTATCCTTAAGCATCTCATGTTATTTGATGCTTTTTCATAAGTCAGAAGGCTCAATATTGTTAAGACGTTAATTGTATCCAAATTTATCTACACTGTCAACACAATCCCAATCAAAATCCCAGCAGGTTTCTTTGTAGAAATTGAAAAGCTGATTCTAAAACACATAGGGATAGAAAAGAACCTAGAATTGAAAAAGCAGCTTCAAGAAGAAAGAACAAACTTGGAAGAATGTCTGGTTTCAAAATTTATTATTAATATATACTAGTCAAGACAGTGTGGTATTGATGTTAAGACAGACAATCAGGTCAATGGGATAGAGTAGAGAGTCCGGAAATAGACCTATATATATATGGGCAATTGATTTTTGACAAAGGCAATTCAGTGGAGAAAGAAGAGTCTGTTCAAAAAGTTGTTCTGGAACAACTGGATATCCATATAAAAATATGAACTTTGAGCCATACCTGACACTATATATAAGAATTCATTCAAAATAGATCATACACTTAATAGAAAACCTAAAATTCATAAAACTTCTTGAAGAAAAGTTTGAAAAAATCTTTGTAACATCAAATCTATGATAATAAAAGAATTACTCCAATATTGCCATACCAGATCACTCTTCTTTTTAGTTGTGACAGGCATATTAGGCCTGAACTTTATATACAATGAAAAACCAAAAAAAAAAAAAAAAAACGAATATGAGCCATTTGCAGTTAACAATATAAATTACTGCTCTAATCACAATATTCTTTTTCTGGTATGAGCTCATTTTGCAGGTTAATTATAACTGTGTGAGAATAACTTGTATCTAAAAAATAGAGACATAAAGAAAGAGACATTAATTTTTAAATCAGTACGCACCGACTGAATGGAAATCTTGACACTGAAAATTTCTTTCAAAAGAAAAAAGTACTAAAAATCAATAAAATTGTACCAGTGGTATAAAGTAACCTAGTCATTAACCAATAAAATATTAATTCTGATCAAAGAACAAATACTTAAATTGAACATCTTCAAAATTAAAAATTTTTATTTTTTAAAAGATATTGTTAAGGAGAGGAAAAGATAGCCACAGACTGAGAGAAAATAGTTGCAAAGCATACATCTAATGATGAACTTGAATCTAGACTATGTCAAAAACAACCAATGGGGAAAGGACTCCCTATTCAATAAATGATGCTGGTATAACTGGCTAGCCATATGCAGAAAATTGAAACTGGGCCCCTTCCTTATATCATATACAAAAATTAACTCAAGATGGATTAAAGACTTAAATGTAAAACCTAAAACAATAAAAACCTGGAAGACAACATAGGCAATACTATCCTGGAAGTAGGAACAGGCAAAGATTTCATGACAAAGATGCCAAAAGCAATTGCAGCAAAAGTAAAATTTGACAAATGAGATCTAATTAAACTTAAGAGCTTCTGCACAACAAAAGAAACTATCAACAGAGTAAACAGCCTACAGAATGGGAGAAAATATTTGTAAACCATGCATCCGACAAAGGCCTAATATCAAGCATCTGTAAGGAACTTAAACAAATTTACAAGAAAAAAAAACCATTAAAAAGTGGGAAAAGGACATAAACAGATACTTTTCAAAAGAAGACATATATGCAGCTAACAAGCATATTAAAAAAAGCTCAACATCACTGATCACTAGAGAACTGCAAATCAAAACCACAATGAGATACTGTCTCACACCAGTCAGAATGGCTACTATTAAAAAGTTAAAAAAATAACAGATGCTGGTGAGGTTGCAGAGAAAAGGGAACACTTATACATTGTTGGTGGGAGTGTAAATTAGTTCAACCATTGTAGAAGACAGTGTGGTGATTCCTCAAAGACCTAAAAACAGAAATATCATTCAACCCAGCAATCCCATTACTGGGTATATACCTAGCAGAATATAAATCATTCTACCATAAAGACACATGGACACAAATGTTTATGGCAGCACTATTCACAATAGTAAAACATTTAACCTAAATGCTCATCAATGACAGATTGGATGAAGAAAATGTGGTACATATACACAATGGAATACAATGCAGCCATAAAAAAGAAGGAGATCATGTCTTTTGCAAAAACATGGATGAAGCCAGAGGCCATTATCCTTAGCAAACACAGGAACAGAAAACCAAATACTGCATGTTCTCATTTATAAGTGGGAGCTAAATGACGCAAATTCACGGAGACAAAGCAGGACCAACAGACACTGGGGCCTAGTTGAGAGTAGAAGGTGGGAGGAGCGAGACAAGCATAAAATATACCTATTGGGTACTAGGCTTAGTGCCTGGATGCTGAAATAACCTGTACAATAAACCGCCATGACACATGCACCCCTGAACCTAAAATAAAAGTTTAATAAAGTCATCTTTGAAAAAGAAAAAAAAAGAGCTCTTAAAATTCAAAAATAAGAAGCAACTGGTTAAAAAAATGCATAAAAGATTTGAATAGACAGTTTACTGAAGAAGACATATAGATGGTAAATAAGCACATGAAATAATGTTCTACATCATCAGTTATTACAGAAATATAAATTAAAATCATAATGAGATACCACTACACACTCGTTAAAATGGCTAAAATGCAAAAGACTTATCAGACTATGTGTTGGCAGAAAGGTGGAGAAAATGGAACTCTCATATACTGCCAGTAGGAAAATGTAAACTAGTGAAACCACTTGGAAAATAATTTGACAATTTCTTAAAAGTTTAAGCATATATTTAACATATGATCCAGCCATTTCAGTCCAAGGTATTTACCTAAGAGAAAAGAAAATACATGTTCATACAGACTTGCCCACAAATGATCATAGCAGTTTGTCATAGTCGCAAATGGGAAATAATCCAAATTTTCACGAACAGATGAATAAATAAACACAGTTGTATATCCATAAAAGGGATACTAATCAGCAATAAAAAGGAATGAACTATTGATGCATACAATAATGCAGATGATTCCTCAAATTATTGTGAGTAAAGAACTAAGACAAGAAAAGGGCACATAATCTGTAATTCCATTTATATAAAATTCTAGAAAATGCAAACCTATCTATATAGAGAGAAGGCAGATCCGTGGTTACCTGAGGATGCAAGGGCTGGAGATGGGAGAAGGTATGAATTACAAAGAATCATGAGGAAATTTGGGGGAGTAGTGATGGATATATTCACAATTTTAAGTGGTTTCATGAGTGTATACATAATATAAAACATTAAATTATATACTTTCGATATGTGCAGGTTATTGTATATCAAATACACCTCAATGAATCTGTTAAAAAATGATCAGAGGCTGGGCATGGTGGCTTACACCTGTAATCCCAGCACTTTGGGAGGCCAAGGCAGGCAGATCACCTGAGGTTGGGAGTTCGAGATCAGCCTGACCAACATGGAGAAACTCCGTCTCTACTAAAAATACAAAATTAGCTGGACATGGTGGTGCATGCCTGTAATCCCAGCTACTTGGGAGTCTGAGGCAGGAGAATTGCTTGAACCTGGGAGGCCAAGGTTGTGGTGAGCTGACATTGCGCCATTGCACTCCAGCCTAGGCAACAAGAGCAGAACTCCGTCTCAAAAAAAAAAAAAAAAAAAAAGATCGGAAATTACCTTAAAAACTTCAAAGAGGTAAATGTAAAGAACAATATATAAATTAGAGAAAATACACATAATACTAAAATATGAGCAAGCAAAATGAAAAATTAAATGTGAAAAAAAAAGTTGACGGCTAATAGAGCAAAAGTGCCAGAAGCCAAATTTTCCGTGATTACAGTCACAGCAGTGAGTGTGCTACGTTATTATGTAAAAGCGGAAAGTGAAGTAATTTGGCTTCAATTAAAATGTTTGAAGGAGGAATTTGGGTCATAGTTGCGAATGGCAAAGCTGCCAACATTTAAAATGAAATGTATGCATCTGAATATTTAAAAGATCTTAAAAAAATTCTTTGTAGTCAGTTCAGACTGCATGGCCTCTTTTAAACTGCAATATGCTTTTCAGGACAGACAAGTGATTAAAGAGAGGATCATTATCTGTAATAAGACACACTGTACAAAGTGGTCTTACCTCGAAATTCAAGCATTCTGAGTCCTGGTCCCAATTCCATTATGGTTCTGAAGTCATCTTGAGAGCAAATGATTTGTTTTTTCTATACTTTCAATTTAAAAAAGAAAAAAGAGAGGCCTGTGTTCTATATGTGGAGAGGTCAATTAAGGTTTCCAATATTTTTGGTCCCTGGAGATAGTCACTGCCAAAGTAAAGTTATTAATTAAATGGCATCTTGGCTTTATCATCACTGTTCTCATAAAGTAAATAGTAAGTGTCCTCTCACTCCCATTGCTTCTGAGAGGACTGCTTTTGTCTGTTCAGAAAATGAAAGAGAAAATCAATCCTCCAGTACACTGGCTGATTACCTATGTATTTCAATGGCACTTTATCACCATGGTACCCAGGTACTCGGACCCTAGCAATAAATTGGGAACAAGAACATCAAAACCACAGCTCTGTGTGATGAGGCTGGTATGAATACTAGGGCAAGAGCCCTTTGAAGTTGTTCCCTTTGTGTAAACAAAGAAAATGCCAAAATGGATGTGGAGGCTATGGTTCCCAAGGTGATTCAAATTAAAACTTAATAGCAAGGACCTCATCAATTTGAGTCCCCCATTTTCTCACAAGAACAGATACCTCCTGCAGAGAGGGCCACATCAATGCATCAGTCCTGTGACAGAGACGCACATGTCAGCTAATTTTACCAAATAGCCATGTCTGTTGGATCTGTAAGGCTCAGTTCATCATCTGAGATTTGCAGAGTGTTTCAACCATCAGTTTGTATTCTAGAGCTTTTTCTACATCAGAGCAAGGCATTCAGGCTGTAATTTTTTGTGAGGCAAGACGGAAAATTCAAAAGTCTGGCCTTGACTGAACCCCTAACTCTTTTATGAATTACTGATTTTCTATGTTGAGCAACTAGAGATGAGATATTGCTAGAAGGCTGTCCATTGTATGGCTAGAGGGACCAGCTGTATTGGCAAATTGACTAGAATAACATGAAAAGGCTCTTAAAGCTCTTTTAAAAATAAATGTTTTATATGGATTTTTGGCTAGGTCTTACAGGGAAAAAATATGCTGTAAAATGCTAATTTCAATTTGTTCACTTAATAGTAATCCAAATGACATAATTTAAGCTGATTTTAGAGCAAGCTGTAGCAAAACATTACCTTTTAGAAGCTGAATCAGTGAAATTAATTTGCAGTGCCTCAACGTTATTTTGTAATACGTGATTTATAAGTTTATAAAATATCAAATAGTCTGAGGTTATCTTAAAAGAGGCAAATGTAGTGTGCACTTACTTTAACTGTAGCTAAATTCTCTATTGCATAATTTTAAACTGAAAGATTTTCATTAATCTTACCTCTGAACTTTTTAAGCTCTAAACATAAAAGAATGTGCATATACAAAGTGAACGTCAGCCAGAATTCTGATAATAAATTACTAAACGAAATCAGATAATACAGAAAGTTGTCTGTTTTGATACAGTCAAGAATCCTGTTTACTGTTAGCAAATGTAAAGCATACATTTTGCAGGAGTAACGTCTTCTAGCTTTCCTAAAAATAACTTTATGAACTGCAAGCTACAGTAACAACCTACTTTAAAAATATACTTATTTTTTAAAATGTGCATTCATTCATTTTCATGTGCAGCCAGTTCCAAACATCAATTTCTTCTCACCTAAAACAGGGATTTTCAAAATTTAAACCTTTTTCTTATAACATTTCCTGAAGTGACTACAGCTACATGGGTAAGCCACAACACACAAACCACTTGAGTTGTGACATACTGAAACCTCAAACAGGAGGGAAAAACAACTAAAACCCTGGGGCATTTCAAAATCCTATCAAAAATATTTTCTTTGTTATTGGATAAAAATAAATTAACATAGACTATCAATTTATATACAATGAAATAACAATAAAATGTTACAAGTCTATGTTTATCTTCATAGTATTCTTATAAGTTGTGTGATAAGAGCCACGCCATGTTAATTTTTGTATCTGTAAGAAAGCACACAGATTGAGGGGCTTAGAAAATGACTCTTGGTCATGGCAAACCTGTGGATGACAAGTCTCATTATCTCCCTTTTTTGAGGGAACTGAGGCAGAGGGGAACAACCAGTCTGCTTCAGAAAACACTGCTAGTGCTAGTGGTTCATATTTAGCACCTCACACTCTAGGTTTCTTTCCAGGATTTCCAGTCTCACTCTTCTCTGACTGATTGCAAAACATACTGAAGAGAGGAAAAGGTACTGGATTTAGAAGACCCAGTAAGATGCACACATTATTTCGGGATAAGAGTAGCCTACCTGCACCTGCTTCTCATCTGTGCCTGTTAGGAGAGTGGACCTGGTTCATTGCCCGTAGTGGACAGGCTTATGGTATAGGTGCATACAAGGGAGCTTCTAAATGCCTTGCTTTTCAGGAAGTTATAAACCTATAAAAACTAGGCCTAAAAATATCTAGGGCTGATGGCAGGGATATATGTTTCTGAGTGCCACAAAAACTCCTTCAGAATGCAGAAGTGAGGCAGAAGTTTCCATTGTCTCTTGAATATGTAAAAGCTTAAAACAAATGAACAAACTATTCCCAGAGAAAACCTATTTAGTACTATGGCCTATATTTCAAAACTGTATTAAATGTATAATTAATTTCTTATTAGCTTACTATATTATTTGTTAAGATTTCCTCATTATGAACAAACAATGCTAAGAAGACTATCCACACACCCAAGTATCTGCAGAATATGTGGAAGAAGAAGTGATTACTTGCTATAATTATCACTGATAAAAGATCTTGAAGAGCTAGTGATGATATGAAATGGAGGTAATAAAGGACCATTAAGATGAAGTGTAAAGATTCCAACCCAATTCTCACCCAAAGTGAGAGTATTAGTTCTCATAATATGTTAAAGGGTATTAGGGAGAAAAAGAGTTTTGTTTTTTTTTTTTTTTTTAGGGGTAAAATAAAATCAGTAGCCTAAAATAAAAGGTTAGAAAGGTAAAAAGAAAAATCAAAACTAGATTTGAGAAAAGATGGAATAAACAAAGTTAATAATCTGCTTTACAGCAGAGTCATTCATATAGTAACACGTGTTACATATTTTGAGGGAAAAATAGACTGTGTGAGAACCTCCCAAACTGATTTTCCCAGCAACCTGACCCCTGCTGCCATTGCTTCCCCACTCTTTAGAGCATTTCCTAGGATATACTCTGGGAAAAGATGTTCCACTGTGTTTTAGAAAGTAATTTTTGGGGTAGCATTTAGTCCTCTTAAGAAACATCAGAAAAAGTCCAATAAGTGGTATTGGAGGCAGCTCTGGAAAATGGCATGCAAGCTGCTAACGTATTTATAGAAATAAAATGTAAATTATCCACCTGCTTTTTAATTTTTTTTCTTTTTCTTTTTTTTTTTTTTTGAGACAGAGTCTTGCTCTGCCATCCAGGCTGGAGTGCAGTGGCGTGATCTAGGCTCACTGCAACCTCTGCCTCCCAGGCTCAAGCGATTCTCCTGCCTCAGCCTCCCGAGTAGCTAGGATTAAAGGTGTGCACCACCATGCCTGGCTAATTTTTGTATTTTCTGTAGAGACGGAGATTCTCTCTGTTGGCCAGGCTGGTCTCAAACTCCTGACCTCAAGTAATCCACCCACCTTGGCCTTCTAGAGTGCTAGGATTACAGGTGTGAGCCACTGCGCCTGGCCCTTTTAAACTTTTTAACATACTTTTTTCTCCCCAGTTTTGTGTGTGTGCAGCTACCCAATTCTTTTTCAATCTCATCATCCCCAAATATTTACTAAAGGACAATTTATGAAAGGTTCCTGAAAGTAGGGAAGCAGAATGACCAAACTTAGAGACATGATATGTTTTCTTCTCTCCCAATGTTTACATCAGTTCACTTTCTACCCAGGATAAAGTTCTGAACATGAAATTTTTAATATTTGAAAATGACAAAATGTATGAAATTATTTAAGTATATCTATAACTCAAAACATTTGTGGATGTTACCTACACCAACTGACATTTTATACTACTAATCTTTTTCGGTTATTTGAGAAATTAAATCAGTATAATGGACTCCTATTTCTTATTATCCTACCAGTACATGTTATTTCTGCTCTGGCATGTGTTCTACTTGTAAACCAGCTTTAAATGAACCATTATGAAAATCTGGTGCATATTTAAAATGGATAATAAATGAATATTTAATAGGAGTTACATCTATTATAATTTTTTTCCATCAATGATGGAAAATTTTTCTGATAATCTAGCAAAGTAGATAATAATTGTAGTAAATGGATATTTAATAGAGGCTTAAGCAGATTATAATCTTGTTTTTCCCCATCTCATACAGATCATCTTCTGATGTTAACAGAAATCATATATAAGAACAGAGGGAAGCATGTAAGTTGTGCATCAGCTATTGGTTAATGAATAGCTACAATATGACATCAATTATTGTGATTTAAAAAAAAACACTCAGCAAATTGCCCTCTCCTAGATAATTTTCTAATTTGAAAGTTTCTCATTTTTTTCCTGACAATTTACTTTTTAAAAAATGAGTGATCTATTTGTTCTTGTCATTTTATAAATCAGCTCAAGATTGCTGTATTACATTGTTGCAGGGATAGATCTATGAACTTAGGGGCTTTTTTAAATTGTAGGAGAATACAGTTTCCCTTCCATTTCTCTCTCTCCTTCTCCCTCTCTTTGCTTTTTCACTGTAAGGTCAACAGCTTAAGAGGCACAAATCTCAACTACTGTGATTGTTTCCTTTTATATGATGGGGGATGTAAAGTCATTCAGAGCTGCATCTGTCAGTGGTGCTTTCTACCACTGCTGACGACTGGGTTATAAAAACATTCCTGAACAATTGTGAACATTGGCAGACCATAAACAAAATGGAGAACACTGGAAGACATTCAAACGATGATGTCTTAAATCCTGGCTCTAAAATTAAACTAAAAGAAAACTGATTATCCTTTGTCATGATATGCATGCCAAGAGCCATGCATGATATGCACAGTAGACACACACACAAAAATAAGGTAATAAAAATAAGAAACATATGGATTCTGTTAAAACACATGCATTCACAATGACAGATATTGAAAAGAACAAGGAAAGCAAGAGTTGAGGATATTCAGATTTTGAACAGCACTGTAATTAGCTTCAGAGGAGAGAAAGTTCCACAATAGGAAGTTACACGGAAAAATGTTACATACTGTTTGTAAAATGGTGAAAATATGAAAAAGCTTAGTGGCTTTCACTTCCTTAATAATCAGCATATAAATGGAGTATTTGTTCACCTATCCTTTCAGTAAGACATTTTCTTCAGTCATGCCATGAACAAGTCTCTCTTCTGGGCCAGTGGGGAACAAAAGAATAAGTAAAGAGCTTAAATGTGAGTGAATAAAATTAATAAAAGATTCTGTAATGTAATGGAACCATATTTATTATTTTCTTTTCATTTCATTAAAGTATTTACTTGAACCTCTACTTACTTTTAGAAAATATTCATTGCATTGTTTCTAAGGTGACTCAAGATTATTCAGAAATTATGTGTTAAGTTTTTCTGAATATGAATGGTACATATTCAAAAACCAGCCTGGTGGAGGAACTATTTTCAAGGAGTAATATTACCAGTGTGAAGGAGATATATCAGAAGAGGATTAGAGTTGGGCCTAGAGACCTTGGCCAACTTGTGGTACCAATGTTCACCAATTGTGTGATTTGGAAGCAACTCTGATAGGTGCCTGCCAAATTTAGTGGTGAACCCTTTCTCTAGACCAGACTTAAGTTTTGGTTCTTTTAAATTAAACAGTTCAGCAGAAATTTCAGGACATCAAGAAAACAGCCAAGGGTTACTCTGAGGTCCCTATATTCTTTACTCAGGAGAATAAGTAACAACATTCAACTACTGCCACTTCCTTCCTATGTCTGAAAAAGTCCAGGCATCCTTCCCCAAATTTTTACAGGTTTGACACTTAGATTCGCCTCTAATTCAGCAACTACTTTGAAGGGGAAAGATGTCCTATATATTTTTTATAACCTCTCCTACAACAGATATAATTCCTAGTGATGACAGCAAATCCTATTTCCATTACCTAATTTTAGATATGTTAAACATCCCACTCTTTTTTTAAGAAGCAATGTTAAATAATAAACTGGTACAACTTCTGGACAAAGATTTTTGTACAGGGACTTTCCAAGCATTGCATGTTTTACTTGTTGCAAAAATATGAAAGTTATCTTTCTAAGAAAGGTACACACAGATGTTGATATGACTTGAGAAAAATAGTCAATAGAGTCAATTTGTTATCTCCATCTTTAGCTGCAAGAGGGAGGGGGGATCATTAGATAAACCAAGTATGACAAGGAGGCTTTGGGTCTATAACTCTTATGGCAAATGGTTATATTATGTTAGACAAGTAGATTAAACTTTGCAAGCTTCAGATATTATCTTTGTAAAAAAGTGTATATAATACATCTGCTCTCATTACCGCACAAGGATTATGTCAAAGTAATCTCCATTTAAGTGAGTGGAACATACTGAAAAGAAATCAAAAAGGGCTACCAGTGGGGGATGAGAGAGGAGGAAAATTTGCAGAGAAGGAGAGAATATAGAAATGGAAATGAGAGAGAGCAGTGTATTGAGAGGAGGGCAGCATAAGAATGAGTAAAGAAGAGTGGGGCAGGGATGGGATGAGAAATGGAAGGGATATGGAAAACTGGTTTGGGTTTAGCTAGGGCAAAGCCCAAGTGACAAGGAATCCGTGGTTAAAGGCAGTATGACTGGAAATGAGCGAATTTAGGAATATGCATCTCAGCATTTTTTTCTTTTGGTTCAGGATTTTGGTGAGTGTCAGGTGTCGGCTTCAAGTGGGAATTTTGAAAGAAAAAAAGACAGAACATATTTGAAAAACTGGGGCAGGATAGAGGAAGGCAGCTTTAAAAAGTCGTGGTTGGGGATGCAGAAGACAAAAAGGGAAATAAGACAAACATTTTTAACTTGTCTGTTTTGCTTTCCATATGGGTTGCAGAAGGCAAAGGGGACAGAAGGAAGAGGGGAGAGAACATTTATGCAGCTTCTGGAAGGGGAGAAGTACCCCAGAAAAACACTTGTAAGGGAAAACAATTTGAAATTATCTATGAAAGGTAGAGAGCAATTACCCAACAGACAGAGTGGTTATAGACAAGACTGTATGAATCCAAGCCAGTAATTAAAACCCCAGGAATTAAGGAATTGATAAGATCTTCAAGTTGTAAAACTGGGTTCCCTCAGGGGATTATATTATGAGAAAAGAACCGAAAATTTCCAAGAGAACTATTTAGAATTTCATTAACCTGGCAAATGCTAAACCCAGTGCACGCTTCAGGAATGCCATAGCAGAAGGAAGAAGCAGTGGCCTGACGCTTTACTTCTTCAGACACTGAAATGCAGAAAAACTAGCCTGGTTAACTTCTGGACTGGAGAATATGAACTTGAACCAGAATTGGAGAAAGGGAGGCAGGATGCTCTTCAGAATTTGATGAAACTATAAGCTCTCTCTCAAGGGAAATGCACAAAAATCTGCACACAATTTCTAAGACTTCAGAATCTATCTGTGGCCATGTTCCCCACCCCATCCCCACATGCAACAGACAACACACAGCATTCCTTCTAAAGAACACTTGATTTCATAGAGGAGAAGGGTTAAAGCTGGGATAGGCAAATACATGCTCTATGGCTCAAGAAATGATATTAATAGATAGAGTTTAAGAGCATCTTCCTATGATATGCAGCCAGAGAAGGTTTCAAGTTTGAGAACTATAATCTACTTAGTCTTTCTTATGAGGGATACTATGTGGAACTCTTGTGGCAATATAAACATAGCTATGGAGATGGTCAAAGAGTAGGGCATTCTAAAAGGGAGGAAAGGATAGGCACACTAAAGTTTGAGAACCTCTAATTGAATATATTGTTACCCTGGGAAACATATTAAAATGAAAATGAAAGAAAAGAGAAAAATGAACACATTATGTAATGAGTCCCAGGAAGAATGAACCTGATTGCTAGTAGCATCAGAGGTAGGGTCAGACATGGAGTCTGAGGTAAATGGAAAATGAATTAATTAATTTTTAAAAATGAGTTCAAAGTTGTTTTGGAAGACAAACGGAAATTGTTGAAAATATTATAGAAATACAACTTAACAGTAATACAGATAATGAACACAAGTCAGTTTTCTGGAAGCAGAGGGGTAGACAGAAACAGTGCAGAATTTGCTTATTCTAATTTTTATAATTCTAAGTTTAACATTAAGACAAAAGAAGATGGCAACCACTAGAAAGTAGGCTTCAGATTACAGTAGCCCTCACTGAAAGATTTATAATGCCTTGATTTTGGTTAGTAGGTTGATCCAAATACATAAATAAATAAATATAAATAAATAAGATAGCTTGATGAAGGTGATTTGCAAAAGCTAAAAGGGGAGAGATACAAAAAGGGAGGATAAGTAAAGCAAATAACAGAGTTGGAAAATAAATGCCATGATTTAAAACAACAACAACAAAAATGGGAAAGTCTTTTAACAACAGAGTTGTCAAAGGCCTAAACTTAAGAAATAGAAATGGATGGATTGGAGGATGTGGTCATTACAAAGAAAAGATTTTTGTTTAAAACCAGGAACAAGCAGGAGAAAAACTAGGACAAAGCAGAAATGTCATGTGAAATATCTTACATAACAAGCTGATGGCTTAAGCCAATAAAAGTTCTGGGAGAAAAGAAGCACCTGTCCAAAGGGAAGGTGTGAGGAGGAAGAGACACAACAACACCTGGTCTCTGAATATACCATAAAAAAGTTTGTGCCAACTAGCTATAATTTTGGGGAAAAAAAAACTTTGAGTAAAGTAGATTTATAAAAATAGTGTTCAAGAGGTTATTGAAGAGAAAAAAAAAAACCCAAAAAGTCCTAGTCAAGAGCATAAAATTTATCTGGATATGATTCAGGCAAGAATCAATGGATGCCAAAAACCAGTAGGTGAAAGTTTGATGAGAAACAGGATATTTACATAGTTTCAAAATATCTCCCAACAAATTACTTATTCATTACAAAGGGAAAAATAGTAGCCTAAGAATGAAGAAATCTGACAAACCACCTAGACCAAGTGATCATCACCAGTTAACATCGCCAAGTTAACATCACCAGTGATGATATATATCAATATTATGTGTCTCCTTAACATAAAGTACTGAGAAGGACACAATTTAACATCTGGCTCAAAAATGCAAAGCCTGAATCTAATTCTGAGGAAACATCAGACAAACTCAAATGAAGGGCAACTTTGGATTAAAACTTTCTGGTATTCTTCAACTTTTCAAATATACCAGGGTCATGAAAGAAAAAGAAAGACCAAGGAATAGTTCTAGATTAAAGAAAATCAGAGAAACAACTAAACATAATATGTGCTCCTGAAGCAGAAAAAGTTTTTTTTTCTGTTGTTATAAAGGGCATTACTGAGACAACTGGTGAAATTTGAATAAGGTCTGCATACTAGATAATAATATTGTAATTATGTTACTGATTTTGATAATTGTCAAAATGTAATTATTGTCAATATGTAATTATGTTACTAATTTTGACAATTGTCCTATGCATGGTTATTTATGAAAATGCCCTTGTTTTAAGAAGGCACACAATGGAGTATATACAGATAGGAGGTGTCACTTCTACAAATTACTCTTGAACAGTTCAAAAAGAAAGACTAATGTGTGTATATACGTAGAGAGATTGATAAAACAAATGTGGTAAAGTGTTAACCTTTGGGGAATCTGGGTGAAAGATGTATAGGAATTCTTTGTAAATCTTTTTCGAAGTCTAAAATTATTCCAAAATTATAAACTAAAAATTATCTGGAAAGAACAAACTAAAACAACTCATGAACTTTGATTAGATCTTGGTTCAGGGAATAAAACCACTATGAAAGACATTTTGAGAGAAGTGGGAAAATCTGATTATAGATAAAATATGAGATGAAATTATGGAATTATTATAATTTTTCTCAACTTTGACAATGGTAGTGTGCTTATGCAGGGGAATGTCCTTAGTCTTAGAAGATCAGTGCCGAAGTGATTAAAAGTGTTATGCACATGGAGGAGTCCATTGTTGCTCACAAAGCATGGCAGTAGCAGCTAGACACTTCACCACTCTACTGCTCTGCCCAACACAGTATTCTCTACCTTCCTTACTTAGGTAGGCATGGCCATTTCTCTGCTAGTGATTGTCTTGATCTCTCAGGGTGCAAAGCTTCCCATTTGTTTAACACTGTTAGAAGGCTTTAAAGCAGAATTTCTCAGTTCCAGTGAGTCTCAAAATTTAGTGAAAATGGCTTCTGAGCATTTCTTTATAGTTCTTCCTCCCCCAGCTCCCTCCAAACAACCTGCCCCAGATTCAGGCCTGTGTTCGTAACAGATAATATGTTAGAAGTTCTTACGAAAAATTTTGTTATTGTGAGTGCTTTATCAGATCTGGCTTTTTATTTTATTTTATTTTTTGCAGGGGTGGGGTGAGGCACAGGATGCATTCTCCCCCTCTCACCTCCCCTGTCTTGGGATGTTTCTCAGCTGTTCTTTTAATAGACTTCTTTGGACCATCCCCACAGTAACCAGATCGAAGTGAACCCCAGAAGTGAATGCTGCCTGAGCTATTTCTCAAGAAGCTTTTCAGTGCTTCTCCCTAGCCTACCACCTGGGCAATCAACTTCTGCCAGCCCTGACCCAGCACATCTGTCTTCATACGCTTGTGCCCCAGCAGTGGGCCCCACTTATCATCCAGCTGAAATTCTAAGAAGTACATATAAGAAATAGGCAGACAAGCAAGAAGGGTATACTTGCAGTCTAAAGACAAGTGTCAAACAGATAAAAGAGGGTAAGCAATACTTTTTGCATATACTTATAAGCTATGCAGGTTTTTAAAAATTCTTCTACTGGCAGGTGAGGCTTGGAGAAAGAATTCTAAGAATGTATGATTGTAAGTAGCCTTTACAGTCAACCTGTAAAGATTTAATGAGAGCAAAGCTCTGCCTCTAGTTAGTACACAATTTTAACGGTGTTTACTAAGCAGGCATTTATGTCAATGCACCAAACGGAAGTTCTGAATAACGAGACACAAAATTTGAGGGCTTATTCTCAAATAATTTAGTTATAAGTTAGTTCCTGGTGTAGTCTGAACAGAAGGTCACTGATTCATTATTTCACTGACAAATCATCTCCTACACTAATTCCACAGGAGGTATTCAGGAGAGCCATATGACTCATTTAGAACACTGAGATTAAGACAAAAGATACAATTTGTTCCAGCTAAATGAACTTATCTGCATTTGAAGCATCTGTATTTTCCAAACTAGAAGTAAACTTTCCTCTTCAGTGATTTTGGACTAAATTGGAGTCAGTTCTGGACTCTTGTTTAGGAACACGTGATGGGGTTGTGAACGTTTCTCTAATTGCCTGGATTTTTTAGTTGCATTTCAACTTTTACATGCTTGTTTTATTTCACTCAAGACAAAAGCAATTTTTTAAAACTGCAGATACAAACTAAGGCAAGCAAATCATGCTATTTAATGTTGACAACTCTCTGAAAATAGAAATATATTGGGTTGATGCAAAAGTAATTGCGCTTTTTCCCATTTTAATGGCAAAACTAATAACCTAATAACTTTCGATCATTAGTGTTTAATCCAAAGACTCATTTTAAATAATCATCCTCTCCAAAAAGTTTGGCTTGGTTGTTTTATTTCTCCTCTGATCTTACCCCTTTAAGAGATTACTCACAAGTAATGTAGTAGTGGGAGATATGCAATAATTGTGTAACTTGGGCTAGCAATTGCATAAATTGGATTTGCTTTCCCTTATCCTAAATAAACAGCCATCTATGTAATGAGATTATTGTTTTAATTTAGGGGGAAATATATAATGTGTGTATATCTATATATTTATGTATATATATGTGTGTGTGTATATATATCTCTGTGTGTGTGTGTGTGTGTATATATGTACACTAAACACCATACCTAATTCATAAGTGCTTAATATAAGTCAGCCATTATTATTATTTTGAAACTACTGAACTAGAAGCTTCCTCTTGCTTGATTATTATTAGAAAAGGTTAATCTCAACAATACTAATTTAACTCCATACCAAAAGGAAACTGATTTGATCACCTGGGGATATATACATGATCAATAATTATGAATTAGCTGTAAAAGTCATTACCTTTAATAATTTAGTCATTATCTGTGTCCCTGTCATCAAAATGGTGATACTACCTATATCTCATAATTTGGTTGTAAAGAAAATATTTCACATTAGACATTCAATTAACTGTTAGTTCTCTCCCCAAACACTATGCCTTCCACAGCAATGCAAAGAGTAGTATACAATCTTATTCACAAAATCGATTTTACTTGAACAATGAGGTGGCCAAATGGTAACACCTGAATTCTCAATAGTGTGGATTCTTAAACACTCTCTCAGTATTCCTGAACAGATTGGAAAAATTAAGATAATGACTGCCCATTGCACCCCTGAGTTCCTCTAAGGTCTACGGATACATTTAAGTGAGTTGATCTTCTGAACCGCAATGCGTTAGTTCTTAAAATATCTTCGTCATTTGCACATTTTGTATTCAAAGCGTGTGGATTCCTCTTTAATTCATAACCTAAAACCCTGGTACTCATCAGACATCATCTATAAAATGAACAATTTTCAGCACTTGCCAAGACTAGCTTGAAACATTTGATTCTTTAAAAAAGCAAACAATTATATATTTCTCTATATTTCCAAAGCTCTCTCTTATTTTGCTCATCCAGACAAGAAATTTGTTCCATATGATCTTCACTCCCTGTTGAGACCTGGTATAATAATATGGAAACAGCCCGATTCTGTTTACTCCTATTATAACACTTATTGCATATCTGTCTCCTCTGTTAGTTTACAAGTTTCTGGAGGAAATGGAGCATAATATAGGAACATCACATTCATCTTTGTATCCATTGTTCTGCCTTACTTGTAAGGGTGTCCTTGCTATAAATCCATACAAGATATATCAAATTAGGGTCCATCTATCACTGAAATCAGAAACACCCAGGGGTACTTGTTTAAAATGCAGATTTCTTTATTCTATCCAAATATTCTAAATTATAATGGCTACGCTATGGCTTGAATATGGTTTGTCTCTACCAAAACTCATGTTGAAATTTGATCCCCAATGTGGCAGTGTAAGGAGGAGGCCCTTTAGCAGAGGTGGGGTAGGGTTGAATGAGTTCTCCTGGGAGGTGGGCGGGGGGGCGGGGTGGGGAGGTGAGGAGGGGGAATAGATTACTTCCTGAAGAGCAGAGAGTAGGTTGTTAAAAAGAGCATGGCTTCCCAGGTTTATCTCTCTTGCTTTCTCTCTAATGCATCCTCAGTCTCTACATGATCCCCTTGCACAGGGCTGCTCCTCTTTCGCTTTCCACCTTGAGTGGAAGTAGCATGAGGCCCTCACCAGATGTAGCTGCCCAGTCTTGGACTTTTCAGCCAGCAGAATCATAAGCCAAATAAACCTCTTTTCTTTATACATTACCCACCCTCAGGTATTTTGTTATAGCAATACAAAACAGACTAAGACAGGCTGGTATTGGGCACTGGGACATTTTATCATGCTCTACAGGTGATTCTGTGTATAATAAAGTTTTGGAATCCTATCACAGAAGAAGGGCTACACATTAGGAACCTGAGGTTCTTCCTGATGACCCAGAAAACCTGATAGTTCTCAGAAGAATAACAAATCTGTTTTTTCCCAATGATCAAAAGCGCATATTCTCTGATCACAATAAATCTTTAAAAACAAAAAATGAAAATATAGGGAGAGAGAAGTTTTTTTTTCTTTTTATCTTTTGCATACAGGAAAACTTTAAACAAATACATAAAAGTAGATTAAATACCACTGTGATTCCCCAGGTACTGGCCCATCACCCAGCTTCACCAATCAATCCGTAGCCAATCATTTTTTATCTATCACTACCCATGTCCCAACCCCAAACAAGCTTTCTTTAAAAATCATTGTCCTGGTCAGGTGTGGTGGCTCACACCTGTAATCCCAGCACTCTGGGAGGCCAAGGTGGGAGGATTACTTGAGGTCAGGAGTTTGAAACCAGTCTGGCAAACACAGTGAAACCCTGTATCTACTAAAAATACAAAAACTAGCTGGGCATGGTGGCACATGCCTGTAATCCCAGCTACTTGGGAGGCTGAGGCATGAGAATCACTTGAACATGGGAGGTAGAGATTGCAGTGAGCTGAGATTGCACCACTGCACTCCAGCCTGGGCAATGAAGTGAAACTGTTTCAAAAATAGAAAACAGAAATAAAAATAAAAATAAATCATTGTCCTCAAAGCTTTAAACAAAAGCTAAGACACTGAAAAACAGAAAGATGTAAGACAAACTACTCAAATTTTTTTAATATTGAATATAATTATACAAACAGATTTATAACCTGGAACCATCATTAGAACTACAAAGTTGCAATTCAATGGATGTGTAGTTATACTCTAGAGCAAGTACAAGATGGTTGTTAGGACTCCAATGAGATAATATTTGTAACAGCATCTAGCACAGGTGCTATCATACATAGAACAAATGTTGTGAGCTTGAGGACTGTGAATAAGACAATGTGGTAGTTTTCAAGATATGTTCACATCTTTTTGACACTTCTCTTTTCAACAGGTAGAGATTATTCCCTCCCCTTCCCTTGAGTATGGGCTGGACGTGGTGACTCACTTCTAGTTTATAAAATATAGCAGACAGGATTGGATGTCACTGTTAATATTAGGTTATAAAATGACTATGGTTTTTGCCTTAGATGTGGGGATAGGTGGATGAATATGCTTTCTCTCTCATCATATTCTACAGGAAGATAGCTACCATGTCAGAAAGCAGCCCTGGAGAGAGGGAAGCCAACTGCCATGTCTTGAGGATTCTCAGGTAGCCTATGGAGAAGTCTAAACAGCAAGAAACAAAAGCCTGCCAGCAACCACGTGAGTGAGCTAGGAAGTAGATTTTCCAGTCCCAGCTAAACCTTATGAAAACTGGCCCATAGCTTCATTTCAAACTCATGAGAGATCCTGAATCAAGACAGCTAAGCTACTTAGATTACTTATAACAGCAAAACTTTGGGAACAACCTAAATATCCATCCCTAGGAGACTGGTTAAATTGCCTACAGTGCATGCACAATGGGTTATATGTACCTGTGAGAAAAAAGAAGGAAGATCTTTATGAGTTGATACTAGGGTGATTCCCAGGATATAATATTAGGTTTCTTTTTTTTAAAAAAAGGTGCCAAAGAATGTATAATGAATAATACGCCTCTTTTGTATAATAAATAGGGGTAAATGTTTATATTTTTATTTACTTTTATCAAAAATAAGCACAGGAAAATAAACCTGAAACTAGTAAATACAAATAGAATGGAAACTTTTCCATTTTTATGTAGTTTTAACTTTGACTATGGAAATAATTTACATATTCAAAAATTAAATTAAAATAGTTGGAAAAAGTAAACCCTAAAAGGGAATAACAAAGAAACAATTGTAATACACTCTATATCAAGTTGATAATACAAACAAAAATGATAATTAAAGGAACTCTTGCATTCAGCACTCAGACTGTATACACTCTACTAAATTCGAAGAACAATAATTGTAAGAAAATCTAATTTTCTCAGTAGTTTTGTTATTGTTGGTTGAAGTATTATTGCTGTAATTCTGAATCTATTTTGTATGTATTGGAGCAAATTAGAGAGAGAGAGACAGAGTGTGTGTGTGTGTGTGTGTGTGTGTGTGTGTGTGTAGATATTTTTATTTTTTTAAGTATCAAGGTTCTCACTGTAGATAAATGGGGATGCCAATAGGATCTGGGGGGAGATGATGAAGAAACCCGTGGTGCTGCATTTGAACTGGAGTTTGTCAGCATGATCTCATCACTTCTTAAAAAATTAAATCTATGGTCTGTCTTAGCAGCAATGACATTCCAAATAGCAACAAGAACCCCAAAAACCCAGATATTGGCTTCTAAATAACATTCCCTATTAAAAGAAACCAACCAAAAGAAATGGTTGATTCCAGATCTAGGGCAGAAAAAGAACAAGGTAAGATTTGAATACCTTTTGCCAGAAAGCCAGGAAGTGCTTAACAATAGCTATGGCATCATCTGAAAAGGACACAGGAGAGGTTCTCAATTAAAAAAAAAAAGAATCTGGAAGCTTCAAAAAGAATAACAATGTATTAAATCATAACACTGGGAGGTAAAAAGAGGGAAAGGAGGAAAGGTAGAGGAAGAGAGAGAAAGAGAAGTAGCAGAGACACTCTGTTTGTGAGTGTGAGTGAGACAGAGAAAAACTGTGTGCATGTGTGTTGGAGAAAGGGAGGACGGGAAGGAGAGACAGAAAGAGAGAGAGGAGGAGGCAAGAAAGTAGGGGAGAGAGAAAAGGAAGGATTCAAGGAAGAGAGAGGAGAGGGTGGGAGAGAAGAAGGAATAATAAAAAAAAGTTTTTTAAAGAATAATGACAATTAATTCAGGCAAGGATCATCACTGGATGTTAAAACCTGGTTGTTAAGGAACAGAAATTTATATCACCTTTCCCTTAAAGATTATTTATTAATTTCAGAGAATAAATCCCACAGATAACTCATTAATTACAAAGGAGAAAAAATGAATCTTTACAACGGAGAGATCTAGCAGTCACTATGTCACCCAAATGATCAAACTTGTCACTAACAGTAAAACCAGATGCCACCATGTGTCCTTGATGTAATGCAATAAGGAATGCACATGTTATCAGTGTGAAAAATGTGAAACCCAGTGGTTCTCAAAGTGTAGTCCTGAGACAGCAGCATGGGTATTAACTTACAGACTTACTTGTTAAACTTGTGAACTTGTTAGAAATTCAAATGACTGGGCTCCAACACAGACCCCAGGAACTCTGGGGGTGGGGCCAAGCCATCTATGTTTAACAATCCCTCTAGATGGCTCTGAAATACCCTAAAGTTTGAGAACCACTGGTTTAACCTGAATTTAATAAGGAAACAGTGAGACAAATCCAGACTTTCATATATATTCTACTGACCTGAACTCTTCAAAAAAGTCAAGTTCACAAAGAACAAAAAAAGCAGAGCCAGGAAGAAATGGTGGAAGGAAACTTTAGATTAAACTAAAAAGACATAACAACCTAATACAATGAGTAGATTTTAATTGGATCCTGAATTAAAAAGAAAATTAAAACTAAGAGAATTTTCAAGGCAACTGAGAAAACTGAAATACGGACTTTATATTAGATCACAGTGTGCATTTATCATTACCTATCTTAGATGTAATAATGTATTTTGATTATAAAACAGAATATCCTTACTTTTAAGTGATGCATGCTGAAGTACTAAGGAATAAAATGTCTTAATATCTACAACTTAGCAACTTTCTTTCAAATGATTCAGGAAAAATAAAACAAATGAGCAAAAATTAAAAAATAAATAAGAATTTAAAAATAAATAAAATTTATACATTTATATCTATATATAAGAAGAGAAAATAAGTCAGAAACAATGGTAACAATTGATACATTAAGGCAAAAGATGTCTTTTTTCCAACTGTTTTTCAACTTTTCTGTATTTGAAACATTTTCATAATAAAAAGATGGATAAAATTTCATGCAACACATGCCTAGAAATTGGAAAAGGGTGAGTATTCTAAAAAACCAAAAAGTCAGAAAACAAAGTAAGTCTGTAAGTTTATGTTTTCAAAGTGAAAGACTAAAGCATTCTGAAGCAACTAAAATGCTCCACCACTGAAGTGGCAGAGTGGAGGTAACGGGGTTGGTCACTTACTGAGCTCTGACAGAATTTCCAGCTCATAGCTTATAGCCACCCACATGTGAACTATATTAAAAAGTGATGCACTTCCAGTTTTCCCTTCACTACAGAGGAAATGCAGAGAGTCAATAACATCATCAACCATAAGCTTTTAAGGTTCAACATCCTAATAAAACTGATGAATCTTGACTTGCAGCCTCAGCAGTTAAATTACTGCTATGAAAATCACGGCCAATGGCCAAGTTGCATGAAAGAATAATGATACATATTTACTGTTAACCATCAGTCAAGTCCAAGAGCTATGAGAGATGAAATATAAAATGTAATAAATGTGAATGTCATCTGAGGGCACCTGTCCCAAAGACACACACACGCACACACACACACAATGAATATAATAATTTTCTTTGAATATTTTTCCTGGTAATTAAAAAAAGCTATTGAAAAATACAAAACAGTAAATCCTAAATGATACTCCTAAAAGAAGGAGTCCAATCAGCTGTAAACAAATCAATAAGAAAGTGCTATGATAAGGTAATGCTAATAAAGTATTAAACCTTTCCTTTCACAATCATTTGTTCTTGAGCAACTGTACTAACCATAGCAAGACACTCTCCCCATATTTAAAGCCCATGATTTATGGCTCACTTTCTTCCACAGCTTTTATGAGAAGGCGTTTTTTAGATGTCCCATGTGAGCTGCTAACATCTGCACTGATGAAAGAATTGTAAAGGGCAAAATTCACAAAGGATTACCACTATCAGGTTTTTTAAAAGAGATACAATACATTATAATTTGATGTACTGATAGTTTTTGAAGTACTTTCCAATGTAAACTTCAAAAGATCATAATGAATATTTAATTTCAATCACAGCACACATTGAGAGTTCAAAATTACTGGCCACTAGGAAACTAAATCTACTGATAAAAGAATGCAACCACTTATTACAGCCACAAGCATGATTTTGAGCTATGATTACATGTAAATCTAATGTCTCTACAATTGATAACAGTGGGATTAACTGGATATTTCTGCCACCTTAAAATAGGGTAAACAGTCAATAGTGAGAGGAGTTAATTAGTTAATAGTTAGCAGTTGCAGCTGCAAAATGAATCACCATTCTTTGAAAGTCTGAATTTTAATCTTGAGTGGTCTCTGTATTTTAAGTAAGCACTATGTTGAAAGCTTTTATTAGTAAGTCTCTTATCCTGTCTTCAGTTGCCAACTGTGTATGTGCTGGACTTGGGAAAAATAATGAATTCTGATTGACGAACAGCTTGAAATGAGGGTTTGTGAGTGAGGTAAAAGGTCAGAGATTCTGAAGAGGAACCATAGCTTCGTGGTTATGATTGTTTTCTATGCAAATAGACAGATCTGTGTTTGAATAACTCCATCACTTACAAGCTGTGTAACCTAAGGAAAATTACATGATTTTTCCATGCCTTTATTTCCTCATCTGTAAGACGGGGACATTAATAGTTTTCTACCATGTGGATATGTTGTGATGACCCAATGAGATAATGTATGATAAGGTCTTTGCTACAGTGTCTGGCACATAGTGAATACTCAGTACATGTGGCTAGGATTATTAGTGCATGTTGTTATTTGGCATCAGTGTTTGGTATAATTCTAATGACCTTTATTAGTGTTTTCCTATCAGTTGCCTGTGAGTTGTTAGTAATGATGGTGGCAGTGGCTGTAGCAGCCCACAATGAGAATATTTCACATTACTGGTGCCAATGTTTCTTTAAATTTTGGCATTGTTTAGTGAAGAGTTAAAAGACTACAGCCTTGTCTTTTGGTGGAGGCCCATTTACCATAATTCCCCTCTACTGCTTTCCCAATATTCTACTCCAGTTAGGAATGTCCCTTTGAGACACTGTTTATACAGAGGAAAACTACGCAAAAATTTAAGGAAAAAAAAAGAAACATTAGCACCAATAATGTCAAATATTCTCATCGTTAGCTTAATGCCTAAATACAACTGCCAGTTTCCTGATTTACTATCACTCTCCACCCATTCTCAAAGGCACTGCACATTTTTCCCTGCATCCTGGAATACAATCATTTTAGAATGACTACTTTTTCTTTGGCAAGACATTCACTTTTGGTGGGGGTGGGGGGGCTGGTTCATAAACCCCTTCTAAGATTGCCTATGTAGGTCTCTTCCTTCATTCCTGAATGGAATTCCTCTGTGGCTCTTATTTGGCTCACAGTAAAGTGATGTTGAACAAAATGTAGAACTTTCAAGTTCAATGTTATGACGCTAATAAAAACCTAGATGGACTCATCACTTTTTAAAAAACTGTATGATTATGATTTTGTGATGGGCTGGTCTTTGACACTGGCAAACAAAGACAGGCAACTGTTGCACATTATCCTAAATGAGGGACAGAATTGCACTTGTCTGTGAACTCCATCTGAAAATGGACTGCATGTATCTTGTTCCCCATTGCATTCACAATACGTAGCATAGTGGCAGATCTGGGTAGGTTTAGAAAAAGTATTGATGAATGATAGAATTAGTGGAAGAAAGGAAATAAGAGAGAGAGAGAAAAAAAAGGAGAGAAGAGGAGAGGAGAGGGGAGGAGAGGAGGAGGGGGAGGGGACAGGAGGGCGGGGGAGAAGGGCAGTTCTAATCTCAGTTCTGAAGAAAGATTAAAATATATAAAGCATTTGATTGCCTTTTTAAAAATGCCACAAAATGGTTAAGTTGAATCTTTAAGAACATTAGCTTAAAAAATGAAAGATTAGGAGACAACTCAAAAATAAGTGCAAAAAGTTATTTTATAGGCCAGGTGTTCTCTACCAAGCACATAATAAAAAGGTGGGTGGGGGGAAGGGGAGAAGGAAGGCTTAAATAGTAACACCTATAAAGAAAGATTAAGGAAAGATTTCCTCACAGCTATGATTATTAAATACCAAAATAAGATACCAATTGGTCATATAACCTTTCTTCCTCAAATATCCTTAAAAGCAATAAGAGTGATACTCATCTGCCTGGAACAATATAGGACTGTTTCTGCCAAGATGACTTATCAAGCCCCATTCCACCTCTGATAAATTTTTCATAGTCTCCTTTGTGGCTATGTCCAAATGACCATTGTAAGTAATCCCCTAGGATATTAACATTTGGAGTACATATGCCTACTGAGGCTTTTAATATAAATGAACATTTAGAAAATAATTTAGGATTAGAAGTCTCAACCATTTCACACTTCATGGAAGTGTGTCAAATTTATGTTAGGCTTTTAGATGAAGGACCATATTTTCCCCAATAGAATAGCACGGTGTATATATAAATTGAATGCACACTTGGGATAATATGCAGCTGTACTGTGTAACAGAAGAGAGGACTCCACATTTTAAAACATTTAAAGAAAAAAAAAATGAGGCAGATAATTCTATCCATCCTGATATAAACTGGCAAGAAAATAGACAAAAACTGAAACATATAATTTGTTTAAATTATTCAAATTAGCAAGAGATTTTTTAATAGTGTCCCTTAAAAACTCCACTGACTCACATCACAAGCAGCTTCAGAACAAAGTTTTTGCTAAATTTCTCATATCTCTAAAATGCTCCACTCAGTAGCAATCAATTTATGTAAGTATCTCTATTATAAATAGGATATATGTATATCACCAGAGGTAAAAATAAGTAACAGATAAGTAATAGTTAATATTTTATTAAGGGTTTACACTTTGGGAGGCCGAGGCGGGCGGATCACAAGTTCAGGAGTTTGAGAACAGCCTGGCCAACATGGTAAAATCCCGTCTCTAATAAAAATATAAAAAATTAGCCGGGCATGGTGGTGCGCGCCTGTAATACACCCAGCTACTCAGGAGGCTGAAGCAGGAGAATCGCTTGAACCCAGAAGGCAGAGGTTACAGTGAGCCAAGATCGCGCCACTGCACACCAGCCTGAGCAACAGAGCAAGATTCTGTTTCGAGAAAAAAAAAAAAGTTTACATAATAAACCTTTATGTTCTTTATTTTATAATATAAAATACTAATATATTAATTAGTATTACCTTTTTTTAAAGCCTTACCTGCTTTAAAAAAATTCATCCACGTAAGAAGACAATATGAGGCCCAGGCAATTATTATGCCCATTTTACAAATGAAAAAAAAAAAAACCAAAAACCTGAGGTTTTGAATTGAAACAATGGGAGACATAAGAATATGGATTAAGACGAGGGAGAAATCTATTCTAAAATTTGAATTCAATGGGACATTATCTCCTTCCCTCACTATCAGGCCAACCGTTGTTAGGTTCCAAGCCTTCTACAGCTGCACTGAGAAACTCAGTCCTTCATTTCTCAGGAGAATCACCTCTCTATGATGTACAGGCCACAGGCGATGACAGCAGCTCTCTCACTCCCTAGGTAACCAAAATGTGAGATGTCAAAGAGAAGAGCCCATGATAATGGCATGACTTTTGGCCTGAGCAACTGGAGTCAGAAAGACTTGCCATTTTCTCAAACAGTGAAGATTGTTGAAAGAATGTAAAGGAAAGAACCAGAAGTTTATCTTGTATAAGTTCAGTATGGTGCACTTACTTGACAAGCAGGTGGAATTCCTGAGCAGACTGGAGTTCAGGGGAGATACCCAAGCTGAAGATGTGTGTTTGGGACTTAATGTCCTGAAACTGGATGAGAAGGTATAGATGGGGAAGGGTAAAGAAAATTGGATTGAGTCCTGGGTTATGCCAACATTTATAGGCCTGAGAAGATGAGCGGGAATGAGGAAAACAAGAGAAGTTAAGAAGGATGCAAGAGGGAGTGCTGTCCCAGAAGCCAAGTGAAGACAGTATTTAAAGAAGGCAGGAGTGATCGTGATCTACACTCAAATGCTCCAGGCAGGTCAAGTACAATGATGGCTGAGGATTAATAGTTGGATTTAACAACCTGGAAGTCACTCATGTTCTTAACAAAGTGATAGTCATGCTGTAGATACAATTTTGTTTTCTATTTTTTATTGGCCATTAATAACTCTTTGAAATCCTATTTTCGATGCCTGCATAATATCCCATAATATAAATGCACAATAATTTATTTAAACAAACTGCTATTGTGGATATTTAAGTTGTTTCCAATTTTTTACTTTTATAAATAACAATGTAAAATCATCCTTGAATGTAAATCAGTAACACTATATTTAAATGAATTCAAATGAGTCAGCATGCATTAAAATGCAAGGGAAATTTTGCTAGTAAATAACATACATGTACACTAAATACTGCAACAAAGAAGTTGAGAAAATTCTGATACATAGATATCCCTCAATAGTGCCAGCTATTTGTATTACTTTCTTTTTAAAAGGAAGATGCGATTTAGAGAAAAAAATGGGAAGCAGTCTGTTTGCACCCTTTTATGTCAGAAATAAGTCCTCTTTGGACACAATTCTTTCTAAAGTAAATTATCTCTGTGTAGTTCTATTTGGTAGGTTTCTAATACAGAAAAGTAGGATCTTCTTCATAGGTCTATAAAAAATGTAATTTATAATGAAAAGCACTTTGCAGTTCATAAAATATTTCTTATTCATTACTTCACAGATACTCACCAAACAACATAGGTAATACAGGCTCCCCATTAAGCCAGTTGCCCAAACTTGTCGTTTTTTTATGCCTGCCTATCCTTCACCATACAGGATCAAAAAGTAATTTTTAAAAGCTTTATTTAACATCACCTATGGCTCCTAAGTATCTGTAAGACAGAGTACACATTTCATAATGTAGTGTCTAAGTTTCCTTTACAGTCTGGCCTGTAGTTTTCATCTACATTCTCTCCCATTACTCTCCACAATGCATCTTACACTCCAACTACTCTACACTGCTCACAGGTGCCCAACGAGCACTTTACTCTCCCACCTTTGTGCCTTTTGCTTAGGCTGACTTCTCTGTCTGGAATGCCACACTCCTCTCATTACTGGCAGTGCAAAGTTACACCTACGTTTCAACTATGCCTTTCTCCTTTATTAGTTGTATGGTGCTGGATAAATTATTAAGCTTCTCAGAACCTCTCTTTTTCTCAAGTGCAAATGGTAATAATAATAATACCTACCTCACAGGCTGACAGTGAGAATTACATAAAGTAAGACATCGGAAGTATCTGGCCCAATAAGTATTATGTTTTTAAACTCTACCTCTGAATGGACAGTGAATGCACATGATTCAAAATTCAAAAATGTAGAAAAAAATATACCTCCCCTCCACTCCTTCCTCCACAAGAAGTTCTCCTACCAGAGGCTATATTTTTTCCCAATTTTTTGCACAGCCTTTCAGAGCCATTATATACAAATGGTGGTCTTATACATAGTCTTTGACATCTTTCTTATTTCACTTCATAATATATCTTGCAGACCCTTCCCTATCTGGACACAAACATCTGTCTCATTCTTTTTTAAAACAGCTGTCATGTTCCATAATATGGATGCACTATCACTAAGTAAACCATGTCCCTGTGGTCAGACTTTAAGATTATTAGCAAACTTTTTCCCCAACATTTTATTATAAAAGTTTTCAAATGTACACAAAAGTTGAAATAATTTTATATTAAACACTCAGACACAAACCAGATAGTTTCTATAAATAATATTTTAGTATTACTTGCCTTACCATATACCTAATCATCCCTTCATCACTCTATGAATCCATTGTAATTTTTTATTAATTTCTGAATAAGTTGCAGATATCACTACACCTCCCCTGAAATACTTAATGAATATTATTAACTATTAGATGTTAAACTTTTGTCATTACAATTAGTACTGTAATGAAAACTTGCATAAACACCTTTTCACACATGTATGCATATTTCCTAGAAATTAAATTGCTGGGATTGTGCATTTATAATTTTCAGAGATATTGCCAAATTTTGCACCGTCGAGATTGTAACAGTTAACACTCCCACCAGCAATGTAGGTGAGTGCCTGTTTTTCTTTGCCTTTATAACATACTATCATCAAATGTTTAAATACATGACAATACCAAAGATGAAAAGGGATCTTGTAGTAGTGTTGTTCTACATTTATTTTAGTGAAGTTCAACATTTTTTTTCATGTTTAATAACTACTTGCATTTTCTTTTGGGTACAACGTTCTATCGATAATACCTTCTATTTATTTGTCTTATTATGGTAAGAACATTTAACATGAGAGCTACTATCTTATATTAGTCTGTTTTCACACTGCAATAAACAACTGCCCGAGACTGGGTAATTTATAAAAAAAAAAAAAAAGGTTTAATTGACTCATAGTTTCACATGGCTGGGGAGGCCTCAGGAAACTTACAATCATGGCAGAAGGAGAAGCAAGTATGTCTTACATGGCAACAGCTGAGAGAGAGAAAGAGAAGGGCAAAGAGCCGCTTATAAAACCTTCCGATCCCATGAGAACTCACTCACTATCACAAGAACAGCATGGGGGAAACCACCCCCATGATCCAATCACCTCCTACCAGGTCCCTCCCTCGACACATGGGGATTATGGGGATTACAATTTGAAATGAGATTTGGGTGGGGACACACAGCCAAACAATATCACCTCTTAAAAAACATTTAAATGTACAATACAATATTGTTAACTAGAGGCACAATGCTGTACAGCCAATCTCTAGAACTTATTCATTTTGCATAATGGAAATTTTATACACACTGAACAGTAACCACTATTTCTTCCTGTCCCCAACCCTTGGAAATCACAATTCTACTCTCTGTTTTCTTGCGTTTGACTCTTTTAGATACCTCATATAAGTGGAATCATGTAGTATATGTCCTTTTATGGCATGCTTATTTCACTTAGTATAATGTCCTTCAGGTTCATCCATGTTGCAGCACATGGTAAGATTTCCTTCTTTTTTAACACCAAATAATATTAAGTTGCCTGTATAGACCACATTTTCTTCCATATCTTGGCTATTGTGAAAAACACTGCAATAAACATGGAAATGCTGATATCTCTCTAAGAGCCTGATTTCAGGGTGTTTTGGGATATATACTCAGAAGCGGGATTGGATTGCTAGATCATATGATAATTCCATGTTTAATTTTTGGAGGAAACTCCATATTGTTTTCCATAGTGGCTGTTCATTCTACATTCTTACCAACAAGGGTTCCAGTTTCTGCATATGTTCACCAATACGTGCTTTTTTAAATAATGGCTACATTTTTTTTCTTTCAACTCTAGTCCATTGTGCATTTTTCTACTATCTTACTGGCCTTTTCACACTGATTCATAGAACTCTCTATATTAAGGAAACTAGCTATTTCTGCTCTGAGTTCTTAATATTTTTTCCAAGTTTGTCATTTCTATCTTGATTTTAATATGACTTATTTTTCCAAGCATAAATTTATTTTTATATAAATTTATTTGTAAATGGTACCAAATGCTGATTCAGTATTTCTCCATTACTTACTGTTCCTGTCTCAACCTTCAAAACTGCTTCACTTAAACTCTACTGAATTACTTGCAGGGTCCAATTATGCCATGTCTTTCCCATCTATGGGCTCTTGTATATGTTGCTTCTTCTTTGTGCAACGTTCTCTCAATACTTTTCTCCTGACTAATTGCTACTGGTCATTCAAGACTTGGCTAAAAGGCTGCTTTTACAGCAAAGGCTTTCCTTAACTCCTCAAGGCTGGTTTCAATGGCCTTGCCCTATTCTTTCATAGCATCTTATGTGCACTCTGATCAGAACATCACCCTTCTGTAATGTAATTAGCTACTTCCCTGCTTTCTCCCTTAGATCATTAAGGGAAAAAACTATATTTCATTCATTAATTATTGTATCTTCAGCCTCTAGCCCACTGGCTAGCATACAAAGCAGGTGCTCAATAAGTGTTTAAGAAAAAAGTAAGGAAATAAGAAAAAGCAAAGGATGGAGAGAGAGTGGGAGTGAAACATAGAGGGCAATATGGGCTGAATTGTGTCTCCCTTAAGTTCATGTGTTGAAGCCCTAACCCCTGGTGTCTCAGAATGTGACTGTATTAGGAGATAGAGCATTTAGAAAGGTGATTAGGATAAAGTGAAGCCTTTAGGGTGGGCCCTAATCCAATTTGACTGGTGTCCTTAAGAGGACAGGAAATGTGGACACTAAGAAATACACCAAGGATGCACAACACAAAATAAAGACCTTGTAAGGACACAGCGAGAAGGCAACCATCTGCAAGCCACAGAGAGAAGCCTCAGATGAAACCAACCTGCCATCACCTTGATCTTGGACTTCTAGCTCCAGAACCGTGAGAAAATAAATTTCTGTTGTTTAAGCTATCCAGTCTGTGCCATTTTGTTATGGCAGCCCTAGCAAACTAACACAAAGGGTTAGAAGATATAGAAGGAAAAATGGTTGGATAAGGAAATATCTAAATCTGGACATTAGAGGAATACAGAAACATTCATGAGTTCTGGCAAGAAAGTCACAACTGAGGAAAAAATTATAATTCTTTATTTTCCATTCAGGACAAAGAGATAAAGCTGATTTTAAACTAAAACCTTTGTTCTTTAGATTATAATGTGAATATGTAATTAAATTTTATTTTGATTAGGCAAGGCTCTTTCAGTTATAATTCTTACGGAATTAAGTCATAAACTACAATGGAATTACATGGTATGAGAACTTAGTCTGATTATAATAAGCCACTCAAGCTTAAGAAGGCATATGCATTCATGGCTATATTTCATTGTTGAGACTGCAAAGAAGTCCCTAAAATTTCTAGTCCATCTATAAAGTTGGTATTTTTCTGATTTAGTATTTTCCTCTTTACTACAGGGATAGTTTGTTTCAAAAAGATGCTTTTCTTAGAAAATGAAGTTTGACACAAAGGCATACTGGATTGCATTATAAAAAAAGAAAAATTAATTATTGGACACCAAGTCCTTGAGAGTGCTTTTGTAGTCATATGTTTCATCTCTGTTGACAGCTGTATTTTTGTACAGCATTTAAAACCATCTACTGACTTTGACAAACTGTCCATTTCCCTTCAGATATACCGACTTTGACAAACTGTTCATTTTCCTTCAGATTTTGGGAAATTCAATATGTCTATGACAATACACCAACCATTAAGTGAGATCAAGTCATATCTAGTTTTCATTTCAAAATATGATAGAACTGTGTGGAATTATATTCTATCTATATTATGATAGCTATGATCTGGAGGTGACATGGTTAATTTCCCTGGCAGACTATAAAATCACCCAGCTAGGAATGGTGAAAGCTGTTAATCAGAAAGATAACCTTTGAAAGCCTTACTCCTTTCATAATGGTTGCTAGTTAAATATGAACATCTGGGAAACAATTATGAATTCATTGTGCATAAATCTATTGCCCTATGTACAGAACTCCTTTTTATTACAAACAGACTTTACATAATAAGGAAAGAATAAATGTATCAACTTTTCATTTTTTACCACATACTTATTTGATGCACCATTTATTAACAAAATCAACATTGTCCTTGGATGTCCATAACACTGGTTATAAAATAGAGATAATAATATTTGGTTGAGAACATATCTAAAAGGTTTAATGTTTTAGCAATGCTTTGAAATTTTAAATGGTTTGAATGTGCTAATTTTTACAATATTGTCTCAAACGTTTACTTTGATATTTATTTTACATGGTATGTAATATGAACTGAGAAAAATGGCCTTTGTTTTTTACATAAATACATAACGGTTGATAAATTTTAAAAAGTGACTTCCATGAGCCATTTATTCATCTAATATTTTTACTGCCAATTTTAAGATAATCTTTCAACATGGGCACCTATACTATTCAGTTAAAGAAATTTCTTCGAAACTTCTCATAAACACAAATGCCTGAAGGCCTAAATTACTTATAAAAAGTGAAAAGCGAAAGAGACTCATATAATCTTTAACTGAATAAATATTTTTCCACCTAACCAAATCTGACTGCCAACACCAGAAGGTTTGGAGAGAAAATTTTCATACCATTTGAAAAGGAACACTGAATTTTACACAATGGGAAAAAAATAAATAGATTATAGCTCTGGCTAATGGTATTAAAACATTAAGATTCTTTTGTTATAAATCTTAATTTTGTGAAGTATGTAACTAGGACAGGCCCTAATCCCAAATGAAATTTAATTGAAAGTTGTTTTTGGAAACATGGTAAGAGAGATTTCTCTTTTTAGTGTTGCCAAATAGAGCTGACTCTAGATGCTTCTTCATTGTCACTTCAGCCAAGTTAGACCATAATGAGAACTAGTCTTTTTGTCTTTAATCCAACAGCTTAAATAAAATTTAAGCCCTAGATTTTTTATTAAAATACATGAAAAAGGGGCTTTCAGAAAACTTGGCATTAAGGATACACATATTTACCCATAACAGTAAGTAGCATGCATATGTATAATGTAACCCACAGGCAAAATATAGTATGCATCTGTTCATTTATACTTGTGGATAAGGGATTTTTATTCCCTACAGTAAACCTTTCTACATTAACATTGAAGGAAAAAAATTCTGTCAATACATCAATATGAAAAAAAGGATTGCTAAAGAAGAAGGCTAAAATACACTGTAAATTAAGTTAGAAAATCTTGTTAGAGATCCTTACAACATGTCATTTACATTTGTGACATTTAACAAAATTGCAATTGAATAAATATCAGTATAATTGGTTTGCTGTTCATCTCTCCCATTATACTATGAACTGCAAAAGCTTAATCTTGAGTATCTAGCAAGATAGGCACATGATCAAATACAAACAGATGGAAAGCTAAAGTCCAGGGTAAACCTGGGATGCTTAAGCACTTGTTTTGGAAAAAAATCACTGTCTACCTAGAGAGAGGAGAAAAGGAACAGTAAGAAGTAACGTGGATTGTCCACCTACTATGGGTACTACAGGTCAGCTCCTATGGTATAGATGTATCGCTGCTGTTAATACAATAGCTCTAGAGAGAAAGTATCACAGCCTCCATTAGACAGCTGGGAAACTGATAAGAAAGAGATTAAGTGACCCTCCTCATTAGTAAAGTCCAGGACTACATCCCTGTACTCTTTCCATTTGACCCTTGTATATCTCTAAAGAAAGAAAAGATAGTCCTTTAGCTTTTAGTTTCATAAAGGAGAAAACTAATACTTTCTCCATCTTCCACATTAGTGATTCAAAAGCTTGGCTGCTCATTAGAACCATTTGAGAACTGTTTAAAAAGCATCTGAGTCCTACAGCCAGATATCCTGATTCAGAGATCTGGGATCCTCCCAGGCATTTCTGTATTTAAAAATCTCCACAGGTGAACCTAATGTGCATTCAGGCTTGAACTGCTATTCTTTTCTAAGCCTATCAAATATTCTATCCTTATCCTGCCCCAAATTATAAGCATCTTCCTGATTGAAAGGATATTAGAAATGTTTGCACACTTCTAAATTCCAGGCATTGTATAAAAGGGTTTCATATATATATTGCCTCCCACATGTAATCTCATTTATTAGACAGTAGACTAATGCTTACATAGGCATAATTATCATTCCCTTAATCTTATAAAAACAACATATATATATTTATATAATTTCTAAAACATACCTTGTGTCTCTCTTAAAAATGTCAAATATGTTGTTCATTTCAAGATGTCTTTAACAACCAGAAAAAAAAAAGAAACAGAAAAAAGGCTTCCACTAAGCCCAAGAAGCTTAAGGATTCTATTTGTGCTGCTTCCTGACCCTACCTATTAAAATGCAGTATCTCTAATGTCCTACAAAGCCCTTCACAAATATTTATGGATCCCCAAGGGTTATCTTATGTGTGCTCTTGAATAAGCACTGCCAGCTACATAGATATATATCTGATATATATCACATATATATGATATATATCACATATATATGATATATATCATATATAGATGATACCTGACATTTTGTTCTCTTTTCCTGCACTAGGTATCCCCCATATCCATGATGTCTGAAACTCAGTCTCTGAGGTCTTCAATGTTGTCTAAATGTATTTAGCGCTGCCTCCAGCTGACATATCACTAATTTACCACTGTAACTTGCTGGATACTGCTGCCTTTGCCAAACATTGTGCCCATGTCTTATGGATACCACAATCTCCTGTTGCATTCTGGCCAGTGAACCTGAGTCCCCGAAGACCTAAAGTTGCTCTGGGTTCTCTGAAATTCATAATATGTAGAAGTTACTCTGTGTTGCATGAAAAGTGGACAGCTGTCTGGAAGTGCCTCATTCCCTGATTCAGGGATGTAATTTTTCACACAAATACTGAAGAGGTACTGCTCCAAAGGCTCCCAAGACTTTAGTGAGAAGTTCTTTGTTTTTCTCTACAGTTCTTTCCTGCCTATCTCCCTATAAGAGTCACAGGGTATTTTAAGGGGGAATGTCCAGTACATGAATCAAGTGATGGGCACAATGATATTCTCAGAAGTATCACTCGCAACAATTATTAAAGTTTTGTTAATAGTTCAACTTTGTCTACCTTCATCCTCCCTGGGAAGGAGTTCTCTCCCCAGAAATGCTATCTAGTCTCTCTTGTGAATTGTCTTCTGGCAGGTCAGTTTCACCAATCTCATAGACATGCCCAAACGTGTGGGCATTTGGGTGACAGGGCTGGCTTAGGCTCAAGCTAGGGACACCATGATAGCCACATAAATGTGAAACTGTTTCTTGGCATATTAGTTAAGAAAAGAAATTGATGATTGAGGTAGTAAGAGGCAGGTAATCCTATATGTTGCCTCTTATTTGCCATCTTCCACATCTCACACATATGGCACAGATGATCCATATCTCTGAATAAATATTTTATTCAACATATGCATAAAAACCTCCTCCTGGAGGAAAAGTTCTAAATCCAGAATAGAATCATGTCCCCAGAATACTGGCCTATTAAAACAAACTTGGAAGAGTTGTAGGAAGGGGTAAATTATCAGATGCCAAGATCCTATGTAAATACTAGTTTATACTACCTTAACAGTCTTCCTGAAGATTTCACTTTTTTTCCCCTTCTATGAATCTGTTCTTTGCTCTGCCTCCCTCTCTCTCCAACCATCAAAGTCTTGGCTGGGCTTCTCGTTCTTCCTCATGGGATATCATTTCCTGTTCACGGGTGTTGCTGCTTCAGGTCTTTATGAAAAATGTGCTTAAAATTTCTTCCATCCAGTCATCTTATTCCTGAGTCAGTTTCTTCTGGTTCGAATCTTAATCCTGGGTAATCTATTTACCTTGTCCCAACTTTCAAAGATACTGCCTTTTAGGAGTTTCTAAAAATCTCAAGTTTCCATGAAGGTAGAAGCTTCTACCATGATAAAATGTAGGTGATTTCATCAAGTCCTGTAATGTCTACACCTGCATCACTCTAATTCTTTAACCCACTACACCTGAGCTATGTTTGTTTCCCTGATAAAGACTATGCTTTGACAGAATTGATTGGATGATTGGAGCAATGGCAAAAGCAAGGCCCTAGAATAATTGTGTTTAATATCCTGACTCTGTTTCGTTCACAGGTTCATGTGGTCTGAAATGTTGGGACTTCCTCCTGCAGATGATGGGGAACTACTGCAGGTTTTAGATCAGGGTTATATAATACAATTCAGTCTGTCCCTAATGGGCAATATGAATTAATGAAGGAGGACACTAAGGCAGGTGATAATTAGAATATAACAGAATAAGAGGGCAACAGAATTTTTAAAAATAAATGAGGTTTAAGGTGAAGAATGTGTGTGTCAGCTATGGAAATGCAACTATCATAACTGGCAACAATTTGAAAGACAATAAAATGTACTAGGTTTAGGACAAAACACATTTCAGATAATGGTATTTAAGTTAGCTGATGACACAGAACTGGGGCTTGGAGACAGAAAGTATAAACATAAGTAAAAAGAAAAAGAGTTAAAATTGTGGTACAGAATCATATCACCAAAGAAAATGACAGAGAGAATAGAACACCAAGGACTAAGTCAACCTGGGAATAGCCATAGTTAGCAGAATGTCAGGGGAGAAAAGTGAGGTTCAGATTTTAGCTAATAAGTGAACATTAGAAGGCCGATTTCCATCATAAAGCTTGTTAAATGGTGTTACCCAAGAAACAATAACTCTTGCTTAACCTTTACCCTGGAGCAAATGCTCAAACCAGCTTTGGCAGGCTCAGTTCACTGGCTGGTACTATACCAGAACTCCACTCTAATACTATTTTTGAAGACTCATCTTCTAATGAGGTGTTTTCCATGGTTCATTACTACAGTTCCCTGAAATGGGGCCAATGCACCCTTGCTTTGGGCTGAAATAAGGTTGTAGTGTGATTCCAAAATATTTGTCAATACATTAATAGTTTGCATGGTAGTAGTACAGACAGTGCCTGAAATAAACAGGTTTAATAAGCAGATGTTGAAGAAATAAATGACTGGTTGGATGTGCAAAAATTTAATCCTATGCAAAGTGGGTACAGAAATTTGAATATTGAATAAAAATCCTTAATGACAATAATATTGTAGGAGTTGGCAAATAGATGCAATCAAAAAGATTCAGTAGTGTAAATTTCCCTAAGCAAAACCATTCTGAACCAATAAAGATTTAGCAGGCCTGGTATTGAGTGTCCATGATATGAAAACTTGAGCTCCTGTGAAAACTGCAGGTTAAATACAAGCCAATGATGTTATGCTATAATTTTAAAACCAAGATTTATACAAAAATATTTTCAATAAGAAACACAGGGCAATTATCTCTTCAGGCTCACCACTGGTCAACCCTCTATAAGGGTACTTATTAGGTTCAATGTTAGGCCCACAAACTAAAAATTTCTCTAAAGGATTTGGAAGGAGTCCTGAGGAAACTAATCAAAGAGATTAAAGGAACAAAAAAATGATGAGAAAATTGGCCCCAAAGAGAAACACAAAAGAAACACCATTTATTTAACCTAAGAAGAAGAAGCTGAAAAGCAAATAACAATCTTCAAATATTTTGCCAATGTGGCCAGCAGCTGTTCTGTATCACTGTAAGCAGGACAAAAGAAAATGAACTTCCAGAGCAAAGGCAGCAAAGTGCAAATGCACCACTGGTTTTTCCCCAAAGAACTTCCTGGCTGCAGGAGCTGGGACGTACTGTTTGATAGGAACTCAAGAGACAGTGGCATTTCCCTCTCTCTGGACCTTCCTTAGCATGAGTGTGCAGCTATATATTTAAACAGCTGTCCAGGGAAGAGGGAGCAATTCTATAAACAAATCAAAAAAAACCCTTTTCTATCTTTACAGTTGTCAAAATCATCACATACAGTTAAGTCACAAGAGATGTGAAAAGAAACTTTCAGAAGAGTCATTTTTCTCAAGATTCCTTAAAGGGAGGATTCTGAACCTTCATCATAAAAACGGTTTCCTTAAATAAAATAATGCTATTGGTTAGCTATAAGTCTGCTTTCCATGCATCCCACTGTGCCATTCAGAAAATAACTGGATTGTATATTTGCAGGCAAGTGTAAAAGGACACTCTACTTTCTATTATTCCAAAAAGCTGAGCATTTATAGACTTTTTGAAAATATGTTACATACTTTCTGAAAGGAATTATTCAAATGTCAGTTTAAGCCTATAAAGCAATACAACTAGATGGCATTTATTATTATTCCACTTCACTTCCTTTCTCCTTTAGGAGCAAGGGATCGCTTTACATCAGGTTCCAAGCTCAGAAACATTTGGCTACAGTCCTTTCTAATCTTTGAGTCAGAAATTACAAAGAACAAAACAAAAGATGATTCTCTCCCATCTCTTTCATGTATTCCAAATTCTCACTGAAATCCAGGAAAGAGTTATTACAGTGTTTTGGTTGGATATTCAGTTTTAAAAAGAAGCCAAAGAAAGTCCTTTGTAGATACTGTATAGAAATGCAGAACCTAGCTGGGATTCTCAAGGCAAGCGTGGTTTCAGAATCACCTGCATAGGAGCCGCATCACTACTCAATTTATAAATTCACTCCTTCCTCCCTTACCATTGAGCCAGGACAATAAGGAAAATGAGTGGCAGGTCCATACCTCTGCCGACCTACATCTTCCTGGTACATGGATTTTCCACAAGGATCACTGTCACTCAGCTGTAACATTGAACAATATTATATCTGGTTAAACATCAGCTTCCTGGAATGTACTGTTGACTGTGCTAAACTTGCAATAATTTCTGTTTGGCTTTGGCCCTTGTTTCTATCACAGCTTTTTGAACTCTATCTTCTCGTAATTTTTGACCACACATCATTCCTTAAAACTGATTATATTAAAAAAAAAAGCTCTTTAGGTTTCCTGGCTCTATCCTCTTTCCCTGGCTATAGGCAGTGCCCCCTGATGGCTTCCTGGGCCCTGCTTGTCTATCCTGTTCTGTAACAGCAATAGAACCACTGGCGCCTTCCAACCTCAATTGGTCAGCTTCATGTATATATTGTGACGTTAAAAAGGTTTTCATTTATTTGGAGCCCAATTCAGCAACAGACAACTTATTTACCTCAGCATCTAGCATAATATAGTAAGCACAGTATGGTATAGTATATAGTAGGTTCTTAACATTTGTTGAGTATATGTATGAATGAATGAAAGAAATCCTGACCTGCACCATAGTCATGCTACTAAAGTGATTTTGTTTTAGAGACTAGACATGCTGTGCAAAATAACTTAACTCTGTTATCTATATTTCCAGGCAATTGTAAAATAATCCTATTTTCTATTAGCTATTTAAATTAATTAAAATTAAACAAAATTTAACATTCAGTTCTTCAGTTATACTAACCACATTTCAACAGCTAAACAGCCACATGTGCCTATGTCTACCATGTCAGACAGTGCAGATATAGAACATTTCCAGGATCACATAAAGTTCTATTCAACAGTACTAGATTCGACCACTTTCTCATTTGTCCATATAAATACTGGTCCTTTATATACTCTTCTGTCAAATACTGGCTGTATCTAACCTTTCCGTATTCTTCAAGTACTAAAACTCCTTGCCTTAATCCAAAATAAAATCACGCTTCAGCTTATTTTCCCAGTCTGGCAACCTAATGGCAAGGATCATTTAAACTCCATGTATGCCATATATATATATATATGGCACACACATACATATATATATATATATATATATATATATATATATATATACACACACACACATACTATGTACCCACAAAAATTAAAATAAATAAATAAATAAACTGCAGCAAGGAGAAACTTTAGTTGCTCAAGTTATCTGGAGCATAAAATACATTGTATTCTTGGTGTGTTTGTGTGTATGTGTGTGTATAAGAGACACTTAAACCAAACATTTAATACCATAATTAATTACTTCATTCTATACCCTATCCCATACAAATCCTGATCATCACTAATATGAAATATATTCTATGGAACACGAGAGAACCTGTAACTTCACATTTTTTCACTAATATAAACTTTCTTCATATTTATAAAGGCACTGGGAAAGCCCTATTTAACTGCGTGTAGAGCATCTAAGTAATGAAATAGTTCAGATGAAAGAATCTATAGCAATGCAGAAGGCCATTCAATGCTAAGGGAAGGTGTTTAAGCAGAAAGCAGGTTTTTAGCAGACCTCATTTTTATTTTTAATTTTATTTATTTTTGTTAATATGGAACTATGTTTACAAATAGTGCTGCAGAAACTTGCAATGGCTTCCTGGGCCCTGCGTATGTAGTAGTGCAGTTACTACATACGCAAACACTTACTGGTATTCAAACTAATCCTGTGCTGAAAGAAGAGATCCTCATATCTTCCAGACCACAGTATCTTAGTAAATTAGATATTGTGATTTGTTATTAAGATCTTACAAATAGATATTCACCCACAAAGGAGAATAATTCAGGTCAAGTAGGTGGTAAAGAATATTACTTTTTATTTATTTGACTAGAGTATTGCTGTGGGGTACAACTAGGCTAATAAAAACATTGTATGTTCTGGTACATTTCTGTATTTATAACATTAAATCACAGTTTTATCAGACACTAGAGATTATCATACCTCCCAGTAATAGCACAAATATGAATTAGCTGCCCAGGTCTCCTCAGCCCCTTAGGAAATCATGATATGACTCACTAAAAAAACTGGCCGAATGCCCACAGAAGCCAATCAACTTTTGTGGGATGAGGTGAAGTCCAAGTGACTTTGCTTACCAAGGTGCAATGAATCCAGCAAAGCTGCAACTTAACTCTTGTTTAAACCTACTTCATCTTCACAATCTTACAGTGGCCATAGCATCTCAACTACTGCAAATAAAAATCAAAAACAGACTCTGCCAAGTAGGTCTTTTGATTTTATAAAAAAGATCAAAAGAGTCAGAGCAATCAGTGCAGCAAATGGTCACCTTGAGAAAAATATAGCAAATCTTTAACACATTTAGAAATCATACTAGATGAATTTATGCAAAAAATCAGAATTGCAGAGCCTCTGCCCTGAATGATAAAGAAGTTAGGAACTTTCAATTAAGCATGAAGAATTAAGCATTGTGTTTATTTACGCTTCCTTATTTCCTACTAAAATGACAATAAAAACTGAATAAATCTAAAAGGACAAACAAAACCTGAGAAGACACAACAGCAGACAAAACAGCAACAAAATTTTGGAAGCTGGACAGGCACGCTAGCTCAGGTCTGTAATCCCAACACTTTGGGAGGCTGAGGTGGGAGGATCACTTGAGGCCAGGAGTTCAAGACAAACCTGGGCAACATAGGGAGGCCCTACCTCTACAAAAAAATTTAAAAACGTAGCCAGGCATAGTGGTTCATGCCTGTAGTCCTAGCTACTCAGGAGGCTGAGGCATATAGATCAACTTGAGCTCAGGAGTTTGAGGTTACAGTGAGCTGGAATCACGCCACTGCACTCCAGTCTGGGTGACAGAGCAAGACTCTGTCTCAAAAAAAAAAAAAATCTGGAAGCTACTGAATAGTAGAAAAGATAACTGCCCTTCACTAAAGAAAGCTCAATTCTAAGTTTGCAAAGGAGGTTAGCAGTGGGAAACCAGTAAAGCCGCAGAACTGCAGAAATGTTAAGGAACTGGAGGCACCAGGTGTCTCTGGAGGCACCAGGTGTCTCTGGAGGCAGAGGTGAGGGGTAGAAAAGAAAAAAAAAGAGGGCAGTTAAGTACTTGGGTTCTAGGGATCTGCATATTTCTTCCTCCCTCCTTTACAATCAGAAGACTTCTCAACCTCATCAAGGCAGAAGACTGGAAGTTTATTCTCTGAAGGTGCAGAATCATGTAGGTGTACAAATCTGTGTGGGTCACTCTCCTTCACTTAACTAGGGAATTAAGTGAAAGTCTACAGACATAATGGAGAGGCACTCTCGCCTCCCCAGCTTCATTTTGCCAGACCTTCAGCTTCTCCCTACACCAGCAACCTTCCCCATCCCCAGGCAGAACACTAAAGGTCTATCTCTGAGAAACTGGCCTGTTTATGAGAAAGGCCTAAAGATATTAACATTTGGGAGCAGGACCCTCACATAGTTTCTCCAGTTTTTATCTTTACCAGGGACATTGGCTGAAGGTGAGTGAGGGATAAAATCCAAGCCCTGCTCCACTTACCAAGCCCTGTGCCCTGGGGAGGGGCTTTGTTAGGCCAGGGGGAGGGGCTACCTTTTTCTAATTAGCATAAAGGCACCAACTGATAAACAACTCACATGCCTCATGGGATATCTTTTTCTATTTCATACAATGGAGCCATATAGATTAATTGTAATTCTATTGAGAGGTCCCCCTTGAAATGGTCGAAATCTTTCCTGATTTTCCTTGGTGAAATGTGCCAGTCCACAGGCAATCCCTCTTCCCCCCACATATACACAAATACATAGAGCTTCCAGTTGGCATTTTAGTTGTGCACCTTTAAAATACGAATGGACAGCCAAGGGTCACCCATTATGAAGAAAATCTGCAACACCAAAAGGAAAAAGACTCAACTAAGCCAAAAAAGGAATTGAAAGAAAAGAAAGATAAAACTTGAAAAAAAAATAAAATCTGGGAAAAAAGTTTGTTATCCTCAGAGAGATAAGATAGTGCATCCAGAAAATAAGAAAGGACACTACAATAAAAATAAAAAAAAATCATAAAAGAAAATTCAGCAGAAGGTTTGAAAGATAATATGGAAGAAATCTAAATGGTAGTACTAAAAAACAGAAAAGTAGAAAATAGAGAAGAGTTAATAAAATGTGAGACTGAGTGAACAAAAAATATTCAGAAAAGAAAAGAAAATGAAGGATATACATATATGCATATATTGGCACAGGGCTACAAAATTTCAGAAGATATGAATAAAAAGAAGAATCTAAAAGCTTCCAGGAAGAAAAAAAAGAAGTTAGAAAAGGGCTAAGACATCAGAATGATGCCACATTTTTAGCAGTAAAACTAGAAGGTGGAAGACAACAAATCAGTATCTTTAGAAATCTAAGAGGAAATCATACTTAGAATTCTTGCTTAGTCAAATTACAACTCAAGTAGGAGAAAGATAGGCCTGTGTGGAAAATGTATGTCCTATGTACTTATTAGGAAGCTGCAAAAGGATGTACTTTACCCAAACAAGGGGATAAAGAAAGAAAGCAGGAAACAGGATACAACATAGGGAAGAGGTGATGAGAATGCCCTGGATGATAATGAAAGATGTGAGCTCTGAGGCAGATCTAGAGATAAACTAGTCCTGAGAGTAGTAAGAGAAAGGACAGGGCTGGGCATGGTGGCTCACTCCTCTGTAATCCCAGCACTTTGGGAGGCCGAGGCGGGCGGATCACTTGAGGCCAGGAGTTCAAGACTAGCCTGGCTAACGTGGTGAAACCTCTTCTCTACTAAAAATACAAATTACAAAAATTAGCTGGGCATGGTGGCACATGCCTGTAATCCCAGCTACTCAGGAGGTTAAGTCAGGAGAATTGCTTGAACCCAGGAGGCGGAGGTTGCAGTGAGCCAAGACCGCACCACTGCACTCCAGCCTGGGTGACAGTGCAAGACTCCGTCTCAAAAAAAAAAAAAAAAAAGGACAGAACTAAGAAGTAATGTCTCCAGAAAAATCCATCAATCAATCAATAGAATATCTAATGTGGTTAACTGGATTGAAAGAATGTTTTTAGTTGTGCCAACAATTTGGCTATAAATTAATGCTAGGAATGTCCTCAAAATTCCTAATATCCCATGCATCTGGAAGGAACAGAAGGCACTGTTATTTGAGTGGATTGGGAAAGGATGTAGAAATATTTCTTCCTTACTCTTTATACTTCCATTAGGATAATTTTCTCTAAAAAATCTCCATCCCTCCTCCCACTCCTCAGTCCTCTACAGATGTGAATTTAGGAGAGAGGGAGGCACTTGAAGGAGGAACAGGGTATGCAAAATCCAGCGTCTTCCTCTATTTCTAGAGGAAACCTCAAGTTTGATCTGCTTCTCCCTACCATAAATTGTATAGGGGCAGGTTCTCCCCTGCAAAGGTATGTGGTTTTCTAGTGCTGCCTCTGACTGGGTGGGCAGGTCTGTTCAGTATTAAATGGCTACGTTTAGCTATACACATTCTTCCAACATGCTATATCAGTAACAAAAGTGGTTTGCTTTGCATTTGCCTGATTCCTTTCCTCTTTCTCTCTCTCAGCTGGTTCTAAATTTTGGTAATGAAAAGGATTGTTATTTATTGCTCTCCCAAACATCAACACTGTTATGATTGTATATGTGTGTAATGATGGGTAGTAGTGTATTTTACTGAGTAAGCAGTATGCAAAAAGGATAATTACTCATATTTAAAATTCAGGATTAAATGTCTAATTTCTGAAGGTGAGGAAGAGAGCAAAGTCTACTTCCCATAATTATTTCAAGAGAAGATATTTTAATTATGAAACATTCCAAACATATGAAAAGAACAGAGAATACTATAAAAACACTTACAGATCATCACTCAGCCTTAACAAATCTGAACATTGTTATTTTTGTTCATACAATATATTGAGAAACCAGCACAAAATAGATCTGAAGTCCTCTGAAATCACTTACTTGTTTCTTCTCCCTCTCCCACTATCCTGAAATTGTTAGATACCATTCTGATGAATGTGTTTTTCCAATACTTTTACTATACACATAGGTATACACCATATAGTATTGTTTTATTCACTTTAGCATTTAAATATGTGGTATCATATGGCAAATAGAATTCTGCAGCTTATGTTTTCCAGGCAACATTACTAATGAAAAAACAATTCGAGTCAATGCTAGTCAGCTCAAGAGTGCCTGACCTGGATCAAATCCTGGCTCCAAGGCCTTTAAGGCAAGTGACTTTATCTCCAAATTGATATCCTCATTTACAAAATGGTAATAATAACGTCCCTTCCTCATGGGCCTCTTGTGAAAAGCGAATGGGTAGATACTCATACAGCACTCAGAACTGCACCTGGCACATACCAAAGTATCTGCAATAGATCTTGTTTCTAAATGGTGACTTTGATCTGTTGACAAGATGTTGACTACAAATACATTAAACTTATTTCTACCACCTTATTCTTTGTTTCCTGTTTCTTTTGTTTCTTTTTCTCTGTTTTTGTGACTTTTAGTTAATTGACATTTCTAACTTTCATGTTTTTTCCTCTGTCAATTTAGAAGTTACAATTTTATGTAGTTATTTTTTTGTGGTACTCAAAATTTAACTACTCGTTCAACATATGTATATGCACCTCTTTGTTGTTGTTTAGCATTTTAGTTTAATGTTTAACAAACTAAAAAGAAAATGCTATTTGTTTACAGCCAACAGCTAATTACATTTACAAATATCTTTCTGTGCTCACCATTGCCTCTCATACCTCATTTTTTCCCTTTGCTTTTGCTTTTCTTAAACATAACTTTTGATAATTCTCATAGTGACTGTATGTAAATGATAATCCATTATTATTTTTAGTACTGAAAATATAACATTTTTCTCACAAAATATGGCTTTGATTCTGGCTAAATATAATGCCATGCTCAGCAAAAGCTTTCGCCTAATAAATACATGCCAAACGAATGAACAAATGAATAGGTAAATCCACAGGAAACAAAGAGGGAGCACCAAGGCAGGATCATCAAAGAAGCCTGATGAGATAACATAATGTTTTCAGAAATGCACATAATTTCACTTCTTAATAAATAAAAAATAATTCACTTTACAAAATAAAAGACGCTAGATGGGAAGGAAAAAAAGTTTGAATTAAGTATTATTTAATAGAAGTTAAACTGAGTAAATGTTCTCAGTGAATGTCCCTAAAGCCACTGGTCCCAATATTTATAAGTAGAGGAACCAATCATTACAGAGTACAACATCTGATTTTAGTTTTCAGGATTACATGGAAGGATACAGAAGTACACCAGAGGTCAGCCTTGCTTTATCAATATTCCTACAAGTTTGTAGGTATTGCTAGGCAACAAAGAGAAACATAAAAGCAGAAGGGCTTGTTGAAGTACTGAAAAAAAAAAAAAGGCAACTATAAGGGAATGTTTTTTAAACTCATCTTTTAGATAAGTTGTATGTATTTTCATTTATCTTGACTCCAAATTGAATTTGAGCATTTGAAAAACCCCCGTTAGATTAGGTACATTACGATTCCACTTAGTCTAGATAAAAGCTTTATAGAAAGAGCAAGGACATTCAAGTTATGAAGGCAAAGTGCTTTTTTCCTGGTTAGATGTTAGCAATGCAGGCACTCCCCACTCAAACCACTCTGTAGATCTCAGCACCACTCAATCATAGCTGCATATTTCCACCAATTCTGGATTTTTGCCACCTTTATTCATTCAGTAATTTTTATATAATGGCACATACTAAGTCAGGGCACCATCTTCTGCCAGAAATTCCCTTTTAAAAGCTCATTCCACTATCCCAGTGATAGTTTTTATGGGTTTCCAGCGATCTGTGAAGTATTCTTATGACTAAATATTACGTAGATTGACATTACTTTTTGCTCTGGTGTAGAATTTCTTTGTTCTGAGATTGAATACCTTTAACTTGAAAAAGGAGAGAGTGAATGAGGAAAATTTTAGATCAGCTCTTTAGGGCCAGAAACAAAATCATTATCCCTCCAAAAACAAATATTGAGTAATCCCTACAATTAGATGAGGCAGAACTACCTAATCTTGCTTGCTTCCTCCAACCCCCATCTCTACTTAGCAGTAAAAGGGAGTATCAGCTCAAGTCTTAGTTGAGTGAAGCTTTTGAAAGAATTAGGTCATTAAAGTCATTCTTCAAAGTCCCTTCTAAATTTTAGAAGAGTTTTTGTTGTCAGAATCTTAATTCATGTTTACGACAGCCTTTACATTTCTGTTAAATGCATAATCTAATTTGTATCTTTACATTTTACATACATATAATACACACAATCATTGTGTATAATACACTGATGCACACTTTACAAGACTTAGAATATGGAATATGTTTTTATTACTTTAAGTTATCACAGAAGATTTTAGTTATTATAACTTTTATGATACTCCAATGGTTATATCTAAAATTGAGCCTGATAAGGAATGCAAATACTTACTAGTATACTGCTCCTATGGGAAAAATAAATGATTGATTTTTCCATAATCTAGTTTTATGATATTGTTTCTAATGATGAAATGTAATGAAAAGCAAAGATTGGTTCCATTTGGGAACCAATCAACAATAGAATTTAGCAAACACTTATTAACCTTTTACTATGTATAAGCTATTCACATAAATTCTGTGGAGGGTACAATTAAAATAAAGCATAATTATTGCCTCAAGAAACTTAACACTTGGTAGATCAGATATGTACTCAAACAGTTAAACCATCGTAAATTCTATAGAAATCCTAAGGATAAAGTGTTAGATAATCACAGAGAGTTCTGCAGATTGTCTAATAATTACAGTATCAATACTAATCTTCTGAAAAGGGAAATCATAGATATTGAAAAATCTGCCCATTTACATAAAGGCAATGAAAATAGAGATGGCAGAGAACCACTCAAATCACATGCAAATAAGGATTTGGAAGAGAAAAACCAATTAACTTAAGAAGGGACTAAGGACTGACATGATATTTTAAGAAATGAAATAATAAGAAGGTGCTCTAGGTAAAACTGAGTTTCTAGAATACTTTTTCATGAAATATTTATGTTGGTGCTGCAAAAGTCAAAATCATGTTATTGAATTATTCTGTCATACAATTGTTAGAAAATTGTGCCCCAACAAAATAAACATTTAATTGCTCTTTGTATATTCTAAGAATTAGCACATAATTTCAATTACAACCTAAATTTATTAATTATAAGTAAATAAACATGTTTGTAATGTATAATCTTTAGTTTCATTTTTCAAGTTAGAGTGCCAGTCAATTCTCTTATTCTTATTTATTAAGAAATGTTGGCCACAGCTTGGCCTTTTCTTTAGTACAAATCATCATTGGTTAAAGAGCACCACCAAGTATTACTTTTGGCTGAGGATAGAATAAAAGGATAAAAGGAGGCAGCCTTGAAGGATGAACTGAGTCTTAACAGAAACATGGAAATACTTTCTAAAGAAAAAAACAGTGTTAGAAAAAAGATACAGAAATGGAAACATATAGACATGTCAAGAAGAAAAGAAATACTTTGATTTGACCTTAAAGGTCAGTTGAAATCAGATTTTTAAAAGGGTTTTGAAGACCCAATTTTAGTCCATAAGCACTGGGGAACCCCTCAAAGTTTATTTGCACAGGAGAGCAAAATTACCTAAGGTACTGTTAGGAATAGTACTTTAGTTTCAGTTGTGAGGATGGAGTGAAGTGGGATTTGACTAACGATAGGCAGATCCCTTAAAGGGCTTCTATAGAAGTGCAGGCAAGAGGTAAGGGAAGCAGGGGATTCTGACAGACAGAATGACAAGACAGGGAGTGACACTGCACTGAACATGAAGAGAGAAACAGGTTTGGTGAGGACAGTGATGTCTAAAGTAACCATACACAAGTAGAATCCCACAAATAGTCTAAACCCTAGGTCTAAATCTTGGAGGAGAAATCAGTCTAAAAATAAAGATTTGAAATCTTCAGCACGGAAAGCCTTGGGGTAGATGAAATTGCTAATGAAGGGAGCAACGAAAACGAAGGTCCAAGACAAAGCCTTGAAAATTGCCTATATTTTAGGAGGAGAGAGAAGAAATAACTAACAAAGAAGGAAGAGAAGGTGTGATTAGAGTTAGAAGTAGAACAAGGAGAGTTTCAATCCTGATTAGCTAAGGGAAGAAGAAATTTATAAAGAAGGCACTGAAACAAGGAAGGCAGACTATAGGCTAATTTAGATGTCATGATGAGGAGGTCACTGGGGATGGCCTTTAAGAGAATGATTTAGCAAAGGACAAACAAAAGTGGTTTAAATTTGTTTTATGGACTGGAGACCTGCAGCATTATGTAACATAGAAGCCCTGAATTAGGCAACATTTAGCAAGAGTTCTACCCTTGGCTCCCCTGTGTAGCTGTGTGACCTAATACTGGTCATATAAATCCTCTGGACATGAACATCCTCACCTTTTAAAATAGGAGACAGCAGAGGCTTGAAATAGGGAATTGCTCTGAGCTGGCATTTCATACTAACTACAATTATAAGAAATAATAAAAAATTATTCTTCAATAAATAAAGATTTTAGAAGTTATTAAAAGCATTGGCTTGAGAGTCAGATACACCTGAGATTGGTGCTAGCTTGAACCCCTAATAGTACTGAAGAAGTGGTTTAATCTCTAAACCGTGGATTCCTCTTGTGTCAATGAAATCAGTATCAGCAATTCCATCATAGGCTGTGTTGAGAATTACACAAGCCATGAAAAGATAACAGTATAGTTCCTGGACTCTAAAAAGGCTTCATAAATATTTGTTGGCTAAATGAATAAATCTCAACTTGTATTCTTAGAAAGGACCAAAAGCAGGATAGAATCCTGTGAGGAAACATCATCTGGAGGAGATGAGACCTTGAAATAAATAGGAAATGTGGGAGTTGGAGGGAGACATTTACATGGACACTAACAGACAGTCAGGTATCAGCTGGGTTCAAATATAAGCACTGTCATTTAGTAGCAGTGTGACTTGAGCAAGTCACCTAATCCTAAACCTTGGAGACAGAAAAAATCAAAGCAAAAATGGCAAATACTTTACATAAATAAATATGAGAGACGGGTCCCTGAGTGTCAGTTATATTGTTCATGGGTTTTTAAAAATACATTTGTAACATTTCATAATTAAAAAGTTTTGATCAATTGGGGCAATAATATCTATATAACATGAGGATTAAATAAAGTAATATTAAAAATCATGACAGTGTTTTTCACATAGTTCTCAATAAATGGTTACTGCTATTTCTTACTGTAAGTATTGTTATTTTCCCATTCTAGGAGGAGACAGGATTAAAGACAAACAATGGAACAAACACAAGTGTGTAATGTGTATAAGTGAGTATGTGTGGTGAGAGGAGGGTAGTGAACAAAGCAGAGATAAAATCAGGTTGACTGAAACCAAGAAGGCAGTCTGGGAGTAGTTGTATAGGTTGGAAACGGGAGAGGGAAGAAGGACTTATTATACAGAAGGTTTTAAAAGCCAGGTAGTGGGGGAGGGGTTGGGGGAGGGAGAACATCAGGAAGAATAGTTAATGGATGCTGGGCTTAATACCTAGGAGATGGGATGATCTGTTCAGCAAACCACCATGGCACACGTTTACCTACGTAACAAACCTGCACATCCTGCACATGTACCCCTGAACTTAAAAGTTGGAAAAAAAAAGATAAAAAAAACCTAGGTAGTAGGACTCATTACTGATAAAATAAACAATAATGAGTCCCTACAGCTGAAGTTTGGGTCAGGGGAAATACAAAATGAGAGTAGTGCTTGAAGAGTCAAATGATAGAAATAATAAACTAGAGTAGAAGAAAGTGTTGAGAAACTATCTCAGTAACTCAAGTCAAGAGGAACCACAGCTAGGATTCTAGGGAAGGTTGAAAGTGGAAATGGCATATCTCAGATGAACCTTTTCTTAGAAAGAAATCTGCAAAGAAATAAGATGACTTAAAGGCTATTAAAGAAATAAAGAGAAAGTAGAGAGAAGAATAAAAGATAATGCTAAGATTTTGAAGATGAAATATCCTCCATCTCAGTAAAATAAAATAGAATTGAGAGATCTGAGAGATGGTATCTAGAGGTGATAAGGAGCATGGACTTTCCAATCAGACAGGCCTGAGTTTGAAGCCTGGCTCTGATACCTAACAATAGGTGCAATACCACATAAGTGATTTCACTTCTCTGAGCCTGTTTCCTTGGCCATATACTGGGTATAATAGTGGTACCTCCCTCACAGGGGTGTTATGTGAAATACCTAATGTTTGGAAAGGTATTAGCATAGTTACAGTCATCTTTATGCTCCTTGTTCTCACACCAAATATCCAGTCCATCTGAACATCCCACTGAGACTACCTTAAAAAACAAAAAGCAACCGTCAATTCTCAGCCCACTTTCTCCTTTGCGCAAGCAATCATAATTTCTCGCTTGAATCACTACAGTCTTCTTCCTGCACTTTCCAGTCTTGCCACCTTCCCCCACCACCAATCTATTCTCCACATAGCAGTCAGAGAGAGCATTTAAAATATAGATCAAATTACATCACTTTGATTATTTAAATCCTTTAATGGCTTCTCATCTTATAATGTTCTACAAGATCCTTTATACTCTAGCTCCTATCTACCTCACCAGCATCATCTCCTACTACGCTGTCCCTCATTCAGCCTGCTCTGCGTCACACTGGCTTCCTTGCCGACTCCCAAATACACCACACACGCTGTTATCTCAGAGCCCTGGCACTTGTTCCCTCTGTCTGGGACATTCTTCCCCCCATGCAACATGGCCTCCCTCCTCAAGTCTCCACTCAGAAGTAACCTCTTCAGAGACCATCCTTCACTACCCTATCCTTCACAGCAGCACCCCTACCTCAAAACCAAGCTGTCAACTTTCCCCTTACCTTTACTTTGTTTTAAATCCAAAACACCTGGCATTACAGTCAATATTGGTTTATATGTTGATTGTCTGTCTTCCACTGGTCTTTATCCAATTTGTTTATTGTTGTATACTCTGCTCAAGGTGAGTTCTCAACAAATGTCAGTGAATAAATGAATGAATGAGCGAGTAGCATATTACCAATTTTTAAAAGCAACCTGGATTATTAAGTAATGTGGAAAATAATGGATGTTTAACAATGGTTCTAGGGTTCCTGAACTTCTAGAGATCTTGGAAGGCAGCAATGAGGAATCCAGTAGCTATTTTATGAGTTTCTAAATGTCTAGTAAAAAGCAAACCTTTACTCACAAGAAGAATTAAGAATATAACTAAAATGTTAAGCTTCTATGCTTTAGAAAAAAATTACTATCAACTCAATACAGTAACTCCGGTTGATTCCTGCTGATCAGAAGTTATTGAGTTATATAAGTTTTTCACTAATAAAACTGAAAATTAAAATATGTATAATCTCCTACAGCCAAGTATATATGCAACAGAAATATACACAAATTGTTCAACATGAGAAATGTACAAGAATGTTCACAGGAGCGCTATTTATAATAGTACAGACTGGAAAACTACCCAAATGCCCACCAAGGGTGAAATGGATAACATATGCTAGGTTCATACCATGTGGTACTGCACAGCAGTAAGAATGAACCATTTCTAACTACGTGTAACATTAAGAGATTACTCAGAAATAATGCTGAGTGGGAGAAACTAAACATATAAGAGTACACACTGTTTGATTTCATTTAAATGAAGCACAAAAACAGGCAAAAAAAACAATCTATGCTGTCAGAAGTCTGGGTAATGGCTAGCCACTCAGGGTGGGAGAATGGGAGAGTTAGGGGCTGGAAGGGAGCTAAGGGGGGCTTCTCAAGTGCTAATGTGTTTTATTTCTTGATTAGGGTGCTGACTATATGGATTTTTGTTCAATTTGTAAAAATTCATCAAGATGTGTACTTAATATGGTTGTGCTTTTCTATATGGATATTATATTTGAATAAAAAGTTTTTTAAAGACAATGAAAAAGATAGTATTGATGATGATAAGTTTGCAGGCAATTCTCTCCAAATCAGGGTTCCCCAGGGGAACTTGGAGAAAAAAAGAATAATGCCTCTTACAAACTTTTTGTACTTGTGAAATCACTTGAGAGTTTCAGCAGTGGAAAAATATAATTAATGTTCAGAGATGGTTAATGCAGCACAATTATGTGGAAATAATTTGTACACAAATTCAAAACAAGCCTCAGATGTAGAGAGCCAGACAGGGTCTTTATTTACTCATTTGTGATTCCGAATGAAAGCAATCTTTCTTTGGAGATTAACCTGTGACTCCCACAAATACATGAAAGTGTCTGGCATGCACATAAGGGAAGATTGACTCTTAGCCCAGAAGTTCCCTGATTTTGAAATGCATGTGCTAAGAAAGAACCTTATTTAGAAGAGATGACCAGAACAGCTGCACTTTGTCGTCAGAATCAAATCCACAAGTATTCTAAGACTTCAAAAAATACAACAAACAATGTGACCTCATTAACCCTTAGAAAAGACATTTCTGCCACTGTTGTATCTGATCACCATTTATCTCCCCTCAAAATCTCTTGCAATGCCTGTCTTCAGAGATTCTTCCAGAAAAGCGTAAAAGTAAAACTTGAAAGAAATAATAAAATACTCCTTAATTCCTAGTGATAATACCAGTGAAATCTGATTTTATTTTTCTTTTCTTAGTAAGTTTTCAGCATGTTCCATTGCAGTTTAATCTTATGAGGGCCTAATTATGGATTGAGGCATTTAAGGCAATAAGAAAACAATAGAAAAATTAAGGAAGATTTAGGAGATGGTTTTAGACCTTATTCTACCATTTCCTTTCTTTCAGTTTTCCACCCTATGAAATTTATTTAAGAAAATGTATATGGCTGCTGACTTGGGCTACGGAAGGAAGTTATAACATCTACTTGATGGAAAACATTTAATGTAAAAGTTACTAGCCCCATTTAATTATTTGGAATCACTTCTCCCCAACAGGAGGTGGCCAAATAGGGTGTCTCCCAGATTTATGACTTCATTTTGTTTTCTGCTTCCATAAACAATATTAAGAGTCCCTCTTTAATGGGGTGACACATTCTGTGCCCACCAGAAAACATAATCTCTAAATCATAGTGAACATAAACTGTAGTTTTAAGAGATTTGGAAACTGTTTCTAAAAGACTAAGGAAGATGGACAATGGATAAATTAATCCGCAAATTCAGGCAATTTTAGAGAGGGAGAATAAAAGACCTTCAGAATAGCAGTTTTATTATCTGCATAACTAGGCAAGTCTACATTGTACTTTGTGTGCATATATCTTCTTGTTGAATAACAACACTGCTTTACAGTTTAAAATGTTTACAGTTTACAAGTTACTTTCACATATAGTATGCACATATAATATCACATATTGAAAATACTAAAAATTGGAGGGGTAGAACTAGATCAATTAAGATGACAAAGGAGAATGCAGAAAATAATAGCATAAATTTTAATCCAGAAGCATTTTAGAGACAGAATACAAATTCGTCACACTTTAAAGAACAGAACCCAGATACTTGGCATTAAACTTTTCCATGGGACACCAAGCTGCTACAGAGGCTCCCAGTTTGGCCTATTTTCTTGGTAGCCCCATAGTCACTTGAGTATGAGCTCCATATAGCAAGGATGCTACCTATTTTTCCACCACATATTTATCCATAGCATCTCATGCAGCCTCTGGAACCACAGTTATCCCTCAGTACATCTGTGTTATGAATCAATCTCTGTAAATATCTAACTTACTTTTTAACATGGGATATCTAATACTTTCTTGAGTCTGATTTCAGGTTCATGATTTTAGAGTCAATATAACATATTAAAGTGAAATCACATAAAAGAAACATTTATACAAGTCAATCTGTATTTATTTTTAAATATCCATCAAGATAATTTATCAAATATCATTCATGATCTAATTTTTCAATATTCACCTTTATTTGTTCCATCAATAGATTTTTCACCACAGTCTACATACAAGATACTATGCTATCACTTTAATACTACAGCCCGTAAACTAACAAAAGTTGAGTTAGATACCACCTTCACCAAAATAATGGCAATATAATTCAAATATAAAAGTTATATTGTGGTAAAAAGTATCTCAAATAATTCTCTGGTTTTCGAAATGTATGTATTTTCTATTTTGTGACCTTGTTAACACATTTTTATAACTAAAGGATATAGTTTCTAAAAATGCCTGTGGAACAACTGCAATATGCTACGCTATCATGCAAAATTACAAGATCACGTATTCCTCCAAAGGCCAAAGACAAGCATTTCATAAGCTATTAGAACAGCAACTGTATTCAGCTGTAAAAAAGTAAAACTTTCTTAAAGTAAAACAAGGCATCCACTACTTCACCCTTGGAGATGTGACTATAAAAGTATTATAATTTTTCAACAAAGGTAATAATTAACACATCCAGATGATTATGCTATTTCAAAAGTGTTACTATTTTACCCAAGTTGTTACTATTATAACTATTTTGAAAGTCCCCTTCTGGAATTACTTTTAGAGAATGCAGCTTAATCGGTTGACTATCTGAAAGCAAAGCAAATATTTTCCCTTTGAAAGTGCAAAATAGTTCTGGAAGAGTCAATAATTATTCAGGCCATGACAAGTGAAGTAGGTGTGTATCACAAAGAATGTGTGGCTACAACAGCAATTTGAAGAATTTTTCCAGAGTGGCTTCAAGTTCCCAAATCTATTCTTACATTTGTAATAAATGTCAAATAATCTTTTTAAAGAATTGTGGAATAAGTGTACTTTTCCAGAGAAACTCTCTCAAGGACAACATACATTTTTAAGAAATTATAAATAATTTAAAAACCAAGCCTCATTACTTTACAGGCATGCCACATATAGTAGCATATTTTTTCACACATCAAATCTAGATTAGGCAATGTGTATCATAATTTACTACAAAGAAAGATAATTTGCTACCCTCAATCAAAAACTGAGTTGTGGAAACTCCAGGTTTCGATGTCACCATGATCAGAGTCACATTTTGTTATATTATGGTCATCATAAGTCCCTCCTTACTGCCAAAAAAAAAAAAAAAGTACATTTCTTAACTAGCTTGAAACTAAAATTCTAAAATATGGTTTATGTAAAAAATGTCAACTTCTACCAGTTCTCACCCTTGAGAAGTCTCTGTTAAAAATGCAGCCTGACCATTTCTGTTATATAGAAAGGAAAGATTTAAACTTTATGAGCAGTTTCAGAATGGAACATAAATCAATATAAAAACTGAATTCTTTAAAAGTTTTCTAAGTTCCAATGACAAGTTTAATACTTTTGTCTAAACAACACTATTTAGATAACGATCGAAAGGAACGACATATCTGTGTACGTGTCTTAACTCCTTTTCACTACTATGTAAGTCATTTACTTCATGTTGATTTTGGCAGATCCTGGCTTTTCACAATGAAAACAGATACTTGGCCATGATCTGAAATTAAATGCTGAAACAGGATCAAACATACTCTTGAATATCCACATATCCTTTTTTATTAATACGTAGTATGTTATGCAAATGACCTACAGTGTCTGACACATTCAACCCCTTTGGCCTTTGACAAGTAGCAACAAAATAAGAAGCACATGAACCTCTCTAGACTGTTCCAAGAATTAGTCTTGAGAACACATTGTACTAAGAATCAGGAAATCAGGGTGAAAAGATTATGTTTTCAAAAGAAAATAATCGTAACTTCTTTAGCTGTAGAAGACAGTTGACTCTACCAATGGCTCCTTCTTTAGCCTTAAAATTGGAATATATGTATTCTTGTCTGGGTCTGGGTCAAATTGACCCTTGAGGCAAAGAGAAATATCCTGGTTGTGCCCCTCTGGGTCAGTGTAGGATACAAACAAGGACTTCCTGCCTTTGAAGTTTATTTGAGGGTTCTTTATAGTGGAGGGAGCCTAGGAAGGTGATGTGTCTGTCTGGTGAGCATAGGGCATGAGGAACTAGGGAGCTGGGAAAGATGAGGATATTAAATGGAACCCTCCACAGCACAGGCCAAGGACATGATGAGGTATTTCTGGGGGAGAAGGAGAGAGATAAAAGACGCCTTTGCATTTTCCTTGGAGGACCAGTTATATGACTGTAAGAGCCCCTTTCCACTGAGTTTCTGTTTAATTATATCTCTTGTTTTAAGATAGATCCCTGTGATATAAAAACTTCAAGTTATAGTGAATGAAAAGCTATCATATCAGAATAATCCAGGCCCCTCTCTAAATCGTTGAACCTCACATCTCAGAATCAGCTCTGAGGGCCTGACTGTGAGGCTAGATTCAAGCATGATTACTCCATGCTGCGTGCACAGGAGTTTTGGTGAAAAAAGAATGAAGTCCAGGGAGTCAGCACGTGACTGGGAATGAGAAGCACAGATTTCCCTTTTTGGTTCTGTTGTACTCTCATTAAGTGCACTTGAAAAAATATACCCTTGTTTGTCTTTGTTTTATCTAAAAAGACAACGTGTACATCTTCTAGATGGGGGAGCACATTCACAATTCCAGCACAAACTTTTTCTGTCAATGGGCAGCCATACTTGGTGTGACACTGGTGACCTCACAGTGAGGCTTGTCCATGTCACAGAAAAGGTTAAATGATTAATTTGCCAGATTCGATTGCTAGGAAGAGATGGGACAATTCCAGTCAGTATAAATCAGCTAAGCATTTAGAAACTATTATCAGGAGCACTAGACAGCACTGCATGATCTTCTGCAAACCACAAGTGATGTCAAAGCTGCAAGGCTGCCGAACTGCCAGGGCTGAAGCACCGATAATAGATGCTAAAATTACTGCTGAAGAAGCATATTTGATTACAAAGGGCCCCTAGAGCAGTAAAGCACTTGGAAGCCTTCCCTCCGAGTTTTACAAGAAATAAGATAAGCAGCATCTCCAACTGTAATCACAAAATATAATAAAAAATGCTCCAGGTTCTCATGAGACATACAAGTGTATTTTCCTTGAATGATTTAAAACCATTATTTTCCTAACACACAACAATGAGGACAAAGTTACCAGTAAACTGAGGCAACCTCTAGTTGGTAACACAGACAACTCCATGAGGAGTTTTTGTTTTTGTTTTTCAGTATGCTTTAAAAAGAGGTGGGCTTATTTAAATTGACCTCAACCTATGCATTCCCACCTTTCTACTCTTTCCCCTTGTTCTCAAGCCTCAAATCTTAAAGGATTACTACAGAATCCTTTCTGCTCAGTAGTTTCCAGCCTAATTCCTCATGCTATTTGCTGATCTGATATTGCTGCCAGCCTCTTTCCTCTGCCGCACTATGACTCCATCCTCTCCCCAGCCCCCATTTTCATCCACAGCTCCCAGTGTTCCCATCCTAGGTTCTGCCTGTTTGTGAAGGAGAAAGTTGAGGCAGTGATAACTGTCAGGAACAACCAAACACCAACATACAAAGAAATTTGCTCCAATATTTTTTAAAGTTCTAAAATTGGTTATCAAGCAATTCCCCCATCTTTTTCAGTAACTTCTTAACTGCTACTTTATATTTTCTTGTTATATGTTTTACAATTTAGATGAACCAATGGGCTGTCTAGTTGTGAAAGTTTAATCTGATTAAAAAAGACACATAGGAAATGAATTAAAGTTTCAAGAAAATGTTTCAGGAAGAGCAAACCTAAAATACACAAAGACAATTATTTAACAGAAACAATCCATTAAAAGGTACTAAGTACACACAAAAAAACTTCGTATGTCTCAAAATAAAATCAACCATAATAAAATGCAAGACATGCCAAATGCAAAGATTCTGAATGCATTAAAATGACAACAGAGGGCATCTTTGACCAGTGGGTTCCTACAAGTTAGTCACTAAAAACCAGTTTGTAAAATAGGTCTTGAGATTTGAATCCTCAAATAAAATATATATTATTTGCTTTGTTTGAGACAGCATAAGGGTTTTGGATAGAATTGTGAGATCTTAGTAATCTGACTACAGAGAAAACACTATATTCAAAATAGAAAATCTATTTTCTGTTAAGTCTGAAAAATCCAAGGCACAGCAGTTTAGGTCTGTAGAGCCAGATGGCCTAGGAAGGAACCCTCGCTCAGGCTCAGTCACTTATAAGCTCTGTGACTTTGGGCAAGCTACTTACCTTTTCCATACTTAAGTTCATCAGGTAAATGGGATTATAATGTGAGGACTAGTACAAGAATTAAATTAGCTAATATATTTAAAACACCTTGAAGAGGATCTGGTGGATAGTAAGCACTGTTTAACTGTTAGCTATTCTTTTTGTTACTCCTTTCTCCTTTTCATTCAGAGAGAGAGAATTTCTCTACATACTTCTAAGATTGCCTCATTTAAAAGTACCTGGTGGAATAAGGAATGATAAACATCTGCATAGTTTTTCCCTATATGACTGGTCTGTGGCAGAGATAAATGCACTCTTCCTCATTTGTTTCTACTGCCAGTTTCTACCAGAGTGAGGCACTGATATTTGTCAATCTTCTCTTTTATATTTCTGTTTTGTCCCATTTCTTCTTACTACATTCATAATACAATTAGATAAAAGTCTGGTGAAATTTGGGTAGAGAAAAACTTAATAAAGTAGGTCTAATTATTTGGCTATCAAACTAAAAGTTTTGACTCACAAGAATCTTTTCCAGAGTTCTCCCTGCATTCAGATAATCCAAAAATGACTTCGACTTAAAATGTCAAGTGTGGCCTGTGGGTAAGCAACTCTGAGAAGAACGGACATGTTGCATTCTTTGGTTTTGAAATTACAAACAAATATGGGTACCTGAATGGTATATAGCCACTCTAGGAGACACAACTTCAATTCCTTAAATGTATTTAGATGAACACTGAATTTCAGTCTTCTTTCATGGCTTTGGTGGGAAATATGACTATGGAAAGGATGCTTTCATATAGCAGATAAAGGTTTGTTTTGAGTTTGATTTTTTTCAACTAAAAGTTTGAAAGATGGTATATACCATTTTTGTTGTACAGTGTAGAATGCAGAATTAGTGTGTCTACCATAAAACCCATGTACCGCTGGGATAATCACATTTGGTAGCTATTTGATAAAGACAAATACACTCCAGGGTGTGTTATCCTGGATACCTCTGCTTTTTGGGTGTCTTACATTAGCAGCTTGTCTCATAATGTCCCTTTGCTTTTCTTACTCTAGAAGCCCCCTTCTTAGCTGGAGCGATTCTTCTAAGATCATTAATTTTCAGGCATTTAGCACTACAATCTGTATTTTCAATGTAGTAAACTACTAAGATTTTCCCTTATCTTATCTTGGAAGTTTTATCTTCCCTTTTCTAGAATACAGACCAAAAATATAATAAACAGAGAAAGACTAATAAAAAAGAAAAAGTAACTGTATTAGTCCATTCTCATACTGCTATGAAGAAACACCCAAGACTGGGTAATTTATAAAGAAAAAGAGGTTTAATGGACTCACAGTTCCACATGCTGGAAAGGCCTCACAATCACGGTGGAAGACAAAGAAAGAGCAAAGGCATGACTTACGTGGTGGCAGGCAAGACAGCATATGTACAACTGCCCTTTACAAAACCATCAGATCTCACAAGACTTATTCACTATCACAAGTACAGCACGGGAAAAACCTGCCCCCATGATTCAGTTACCTCCCACTGGGTCCCTCCCATGACACGTGGGGATTATGTGAGTTAAATTCAATTGGAGAACTGGGTGGGGACACAGCCAAACCATATCAGTAACAATACAGAGTCAAAATAAATTGAAGAGTATAATTCAGCATTATACTGCTATTATGTTAAAGGGTTGACAGTTTAGTTCTCAGGAACTACATTATCTCAAAAGATAATTTTTCATTGGTTTCTGCCATATCTATGTATATATCTAAGTAAAAACATAATGCCAGACTTGGCTGTTTCAGGTAAAAATATCCAAATGTATATACTTTAAATGGAAATTCTAAGTAAACACATATTTTATCAATAGCACTAATGAATGATAACAATTAGCTAAGAAAATCTGAGTCACCATTCATTCATTCAATAAATAATTATTAAATTAAAAATTATGTGAAGGGCCATGTGAAATTAAGTGCCCTAAACTGGTAGGGGGGAGGGATATTGAGAAAAATATATATATGACAAGTACAGTGCCATTAAGAGGTAATTATGAGGAATATAGAATATTTTCAATATTACATTTTTAATGGCAGAAAAACTGCAATTACTCTTATAAGTTAAAATTAAAAATTTAAAACTATATAATTCTTTAAGTATCATAAGTATGTTTGAGTTCCCTTGGTTTATTCATATAAATATATATAGCTCCATATTCAATCATTTATATCTATCTGATTATAAAGTCATTTTGTAAATGTAAGAGTATTGTGGCACTCTTGTCCATTCAGAACATTTTATATTATTATAAAAAGAAAAAATGATTTGCTGATCTTTCCATCTGCTTGAACCAGAAATGAAAAATATAAAATTGTAAAATAAATAATGGTGACTCTTAAAAACTCTGAAAAGTTAATACAAAGAGTTCCCTGATTTATGTTAACTTTGAGAATTAAGTCAGAGAATTAAGTTTTGCCCTTTGTGCTTATTGCTAATAGACATTTTGAGTTTTTTTCCTATTTTCATATTAGAAACAATGAATAAGCCAATGAAAACATTATCACTGGAGAAACTTCCGATAATGACAATGGTAAAATCTAGTCCAGATTGTTGGCTTCGTGTGAGGGAAAAATAGAAATTTTGTAATCTCATTCATGGTTCACAAAACTTGTGTCATATGTCAATAATTAAACAAGAAATAATCCAGGCAAGAAATGTTAAAATCTTTGCCAACTAGCCATAAACTTATTATTGAATGGGCTAGATAAAATTTCTGGATAATAAGTGTTAGAAAATTCAACAATACTACTTCAAAGGCAGCCAGACGTTGCAAGTCCAAAATTGATTTCTTACCATGAAACCAAAAAAAAAAAAAAATGGTTAGACAGAAGACTGTACCATGTGAATGACAGGGGAAAACATTATAGAAAGACTATGATGCATCCAAAGCAGATATCTAAAATATTTAGTGGGCTAAATTGATAGTATGTGCCTGTGTGCTTTATTGTTTGGGAATGAAAGGTTGAACAGGAGCGTGAGCTTTTTCATTTCATTATTCTGAAGCAGTGATCCTAAAGGAGATATCAACACCTTGCGATAATCTTCAGAGATGTCAGGTTCTGAGTTCAAGTCTTCCTTTTCTTATTTACTTTTAAGTTATTTTCCCTCTTTTCACATTGATTCATGATAGCACTAACCCAAAGAACACACTTGAAGTCCATGATCACTGGGCTCAAAGTGGAAACATGTGTGCAAGTGCATCCATCTGCCTGTCCTGGCACATGCATGTTAGCCCTGGTATGCCATTTTGAACTTTGCAAATTTGAAAAGCAAGTATTTCTTCAAATATTCTAAACTAGTAAGGTTTTACAAAATCTACTAATATACATATCTTTGCAACATGCTAAGAGAAATACAGATAAAATAGACTATATCTGGGTTAAAGTAAATATATTTCCAAAATGTCAGCATTTTGAAACTTTAGAGAAATTTTGGTTTTTCTAGTTATGGGTAGGATATAAATCTTCTTTGAAGGGACAAACCTTTTTCTCTAGACATAAAGAGAATTATAAGCATAGCACTAAAATGTCTATGCTTAAATGAGTCCCTAAACATTTCCAAGTGAATTGTTCAAAAGTTCTTAGAAGTTTTAGTGATCTGTTGCATTGCATGGGGATCATAGTTAATAATAATGTATTATGTATTTCAAAATTGCTAAAAGAATAAATTTTTAATGTACTCACCACAAAATAATGATAAATTGGTGTTTATAGACATGTTGATTGGCTTGAATGAATCTTTCTGCAATGCATACATAGATCAAAACATCACATTGTACCCCATAAAAATACACAATTATTATTTGTCAATTAAAAATAAATTAATAAACAAAGAAAAAGAATCTACATTGAAGGAGTGGAATACAAAAAGAAAACAAGGCTGGGCACAGTGGCTCACGCCTGTAATCCCAGCACTTTGGGAGGCTGAGGCGGGGAGGGTGCCTGAGCTCAGGAGTTCGCAACTAGCCTGGGGAACGCGGTGAAACCCCATCTCTACTAAAATACAAAAAATTAGCTGGGCATGGTGGCGTGTGCCTGTAGTCCCAGCTACTCCGGAGGCTGAGGCAGGAGAATTGCTTGAACCCGGGAGGCGGAGGTTGCAGTGAGCCGAGATCACGCCATTGCACTCCAGCCTGGGCGACAGAGCAAGACTCCGTCTCAAAAAAAAAAAAAAAAAAAAAAAAAAAAAAAAGAAAAGAAAAAAGAAAATAAAATTAAATAGGGCAAGTGACTTATAAACTGTCAAATAATAGAATCATATGTAAAAATACAGTTTTCCTGTAATCCCAGCACTTTGGGAGGCTGAGATGGGTGGATCACTTGAGGTCAGGAGTTCAAGACCCGCTGGCCAATAAAGCAAAACCCTATCTCTACTAAAAATACAAAAATTAGCCAGGCATGGTGGTGGGCGCCTGTAATCTCAGCCACTAGGGAGGCTGAGACACAAGAATTGCTTGAACCCGAGAGGCGGAGGTTGCAGTGAACCTAGATCACAACACTGCACTCCAGCCTGGGTGACGAAGCGAGACTCTGTCTCAAAATATACATATATATATATATAATATTTAATACATATATACATTTATATATAATATATATTATATTTAATACATATATATTAAATATATATGGCCATATATTTGTGTGTACATATATGTAGCCCTATGTATAATAGAGTATATTATAGTTTTCCATAATTCTATAATTCTGAATAAATCTGTATCTTGCAAAAAATAAAAATAAAGCATACATACAAAACTGTCACATTATAACAGTATCAACATGAATTTAGATATGCTGACACAGAGGCATTAATAAGGAGAGTGGGCTGATACACATGGATTTATAGCATAACAGCTTAGGTAATGTCTCTTATTTCACATTTGGTGGAGTGATACTGGCAGGACTGAATGGATAGAAAGTAACAGATGGTATTCAATGTGAAAAATCCCTTTGAATGCCTCAAGGACTATTGGGTCACAGGAACAAGCTACAGCTTTTGTCATATAGTTGTAGTGCTATACTGTCTCATCTCCTAAAACTTGGTTCCACATTTCAAAATACAAAAATTTTGCCAATACATGTAAAAATATTATTTTTAAAATGTCCAATTTGCTTCCTATTTTTAATTCTTTCATAAAGTAAACTACAAAAAGTAAAACTAAAAAAAAAATATTTTATGGTGGCTCATGCCTGCAATTCTAGCACTTTGGGAGGCCAAGGAAGGGGGATCACTTGAGGCCAAGAGTTTGAGACCTGCCTGGGCAACACAGCAAAACCCTGTCCCTACAAAAAATTAAAAAAAAAAAAAACAAGTTGTCAGGCGTGGTGGTATGCACCTATAGTCCCAGCTACTCGGGAGGCTGAAGCAGGAGGATCAATTAAGCCCAGGGGTTCAGGGCCCCAGTGAGCTATGATTGTGCTACTACACTCTAGCTTGGGTGACACAGTAAGACCCTGTTTCTAAAAATAAATAAATAAATTCTTTTCTAGATGAGATGAATAGAACACGGTAAAAAAGCAGTGTCAGGGAGATGAATTTAAAGTAGAAGAATGCCACACTAGAGTAAAACTATAAAGCCAGTATTACAGCCGACTGATCAGTTAATTTACACTATCAGCAAATGCTTGGTGCTAAAAGAAATCTGCAACATCATTTATCCTAGTCCTCTGAGTTATAGTTAAGGAGGTTGAGGCCCAGAAAAAGAAGTTGTTTAATTTGTTATATATTCACAAATTGAAATCTGTTTTTTAAAACTTCTCCATGTATAAAATATTATTAGATTTAAAACAACTAATGTTGAAATGTATTGCTCCACTTAATACTAAACTCATGATTTGCTTCACAGAATGTACAAATAACTAAAATCCCATTCCTCTTCCAAGACAACACCCACACTCACACATACACATACAATCTCTAAAGTTTTGGGGGGTTGTTGCTATGTTTTCTTGTTACTTTATGTATGCCTTTTTAAAACAAACCAGGAGAAAAGTCCTATCCAAATTTCTACTATATTTCATTCAGTAGTTTTATTGTGTAAATAAAACTGCTTACCAGAAATAAAGATTATTTATGTTTATAAAACTTCAAAGAATCATTCTGCTAGACATTAAAGATATTATAGTTTACTTTTCTTAATGAAAGGTCAGTGAAGGGACAGGATAAAAGGAATTTGTTTTCCTTTGGTAACTGATTTTTTTTCCTTCAATGTAACTTATGTAGATATTAGGTGATGGAATAGTTGAGGCCACAGAAGAGTACAAATTGAGGGAATCTAATTTTCTCCTATTTGTCTGCAATATTTAATCAAGTACAACGGGGATTTTGTCATTCAATTAATAATTCATTCATTTAAGAAATATTTACTTGGGGAAGTACAAAGTGGTAGAGATAGAGAAAGACTCAAGAAACTCAAATTCAGTGGTTGAAAAAGACAAATAAACTAACCATTTTTTAAAATCCAATTGGATCCTGGTTTGAATATAAGCCTTTTTGTTTCCTCCCCCAAAATCTAATGTATTCAGCAAAGGTGTAAATGTGTTAACTAAGGTGTTTATAAACAACAATAAAATATTTCTCTCTCACTCACCCACATTAACATTTTATAAACACATTTTCTGATATCTACATCCTATGAATTTGTGTTTAACTAATTCACACTTCAAACAGCAATTACACACACACATATGCCTGCCTCTTCAGAGAATCATTTTAGATTGGATTTAGATTGAGAAGGGATCTTAGAGATCTAGGGTTCAATGGTCTCATTTTACAGAGGAGAAAGATGAAGTCCAGATAGATTGGCATTTGCCCGAGGTAACCATTTAGAGGCTGATATTTAGGATTCTATATAGAACTATAATTATTCTGATTCAATTTTATAGTTTGTTCAGTTTTTCCAAAGAAAATACACACCCGCAAATTCCCCTTTCTCAAATCAGGAACTCTTGCTATATTAAACCCAGAAGGCATGGCTCATCAAGTGAACCACATGGATCAGCTGTCCACCTCCTTAACTGCGCCGTCTCTTCTTCGTGCCTGATGTCCCCAGGCCACCCAGGCCAAGATATAGAAGAAAAGCCAAAAAACTACTTTACTGAAGCCAGCATAGGTTTTCAAAATTTGCCTCATATGTCTAAAGTTAAAATATCAAAACAAACCTCTTATTAAAAATCAAAATGGTCAATTTTATCTAAAATTTTTTAATATTTTCAAAAGTCTAAAGAAAGAAACCACTGCTTCCCCCTTTAAAAAGAATTCTGCTTTCAGCTGATACAGAAAAATCAACTAATGTGGATGGCAAGATCTGAGAACTATTTAGGGAACTTCGGCCTGTCCATGGACTAATAGTCACACTTATTTATGAAAATGCGTATTTCTGTATTTTTAACTTGTTAATGACATCATTGGGCATATGGATTTGAATTGGTGCTCAAGTGAAAACTTCTACTGCTCCTACTTTGGAGTTTGTGCTCAAATGAAAACATCTAGTGCTTGTGATCATAATACACATGAATTTTTCAAAAAATCTTTAAAATATTTTAGAATTGGAAGAGACTGGAGAAAATGACTGGTTGCAAAAAAAAAAAGAAGAAGAACACAAGCTTTGTAGTCAGTATTTTGGCTCTTCTGGTGGGTAGTTTTGCAGGGTTAGAAGGTCACTTTTATCTCTCCCATCTTGCTCTATATGGTGGGGATAATAACAACGCTGGGTTGTTTTAAGAATTGTTACCAACCAGTAAAATATCTAGCACATAATGGGTACTCATAAGTTGGAGCTATTGTTATTTACTCTAGTTCTAAATTCCCATCTGACGATGTGTTTGAAGAAAGTGCAGCAGCAAGGGAATGAAAACGAACTAAAGTTTGTTTCTTAGCAATTGAGTGCCAGGCACATAACGAACACAAGTCAAATGGCAGCAGCAGTTTCTTTCATTGACCACTTAGCATATGCCAGCAATTTACTAGATGCTTTAACACATTATCTTATTTATTAATCTTCCCAAATGCCCTCATGAGGTAGGACTTATCACTTCATTACACAGAAGAGGAATCAGAGACTCAGAGAGATCAAGTAACTGTCCCCAAGGTCACACAGCTAACAAGCAGCAGAGCCAGAACTGGTAAGAAAGGCAGAAGAAATGAGCAGAGGCTGCCCTAAAGCCAACCTGTAAACAAAGCAGGGAAGCTCAGAAGCAACTAGAAGATAAGTGCAACAGACATGTCTTCCCACTGTGAGCTCCTTAAGAACTAGGCTAGGTCTCATTAAAGGATGGAAGCCCAGACTCTGGGACAATTCCAGGAACACAGTGAGTGCTGAACAGATGTATGTGTATTATAATAAATTGGAATGCAATAAGCATTTGGGCAATAAGGAATCACATTTGCTCTAAGCAAAGTGTTTGCGATAACAGCAAATGTAAAAGGTAGAAGAGTAGTAAGGATATTCATGCTTAAGGACAACAGTTACTGATTAAAATATTTTATAAATCTATTGTCTGATAATGACAATTGTGTTCACAGATTTTTCCTCAATTATATTATTATATAAAGATTTCAATCACTGAGTGCTATCATCTTAAAATGTGAAGGACTATGATGAGGATACATACACACTATACACACAGACACACATATACACACACATATATAGGGAATAGCTTAAAATGTATTCTATTGTATATGCTATATGGAAAAAATCTACATGAAAGAAAATTCTCTATGAACGTTGTAAAAATAACCCAACAGCTTAGTTTTCTTTCATTCAAATAATACCTATGACTTAAAGTCATGATAAAAATCAATTCACAATTTATTAAGTTAGATATGTGCAACTACATTTATACAAATAAAACCTCGGTAATTTGATAGCTTACTATTTTAGGGGGAATAGGGACTATTATGAAAACAAAGAGAACCTTAGTCTATCAGAATTTTCAAAAAGACAAACAAAAACATGGGTCAAACTAAAATTCTCCATAGGAACAACCTACATACAGACACATCCAGTGACTAAATTGTGTTTATGTATTTCTTAAGCAATGGATGGAGTTCATTTTGACAATTTGTTTACTAAGAATTGCACCAGAAAACTGCCTATTCATTTTCTTTCTGTTTGGCAAACAAAGCATGACACATAGCAATATAAAAGAAAAATATAATCCTGGGATGCATTTGCAATCATCACAGAGAACTGCCCTAAATTGTCTTAAGCCTGTGGCATTGGCTTTCAGAAGAACATTTAAACACTGCCACATGCTGTTCATCTGTGTGTCCTGCAGTCTGAGAGTTCCAGGTCCCCACTTGGCCTCAATAGAAGGTTGAATCACAAGTACTGTCAGGCTTATAAAGCTCTTAACTTCTCAAAACCACCAAATGGTCTTGAAAAAGAGAAGTATAACAATCTTAAGAATCTAATGGTAATCTCTCATTAAGATTTTATATAGTACACAATTGTAGTCATGACAAAGCACAGTCTCCATGAGCACACTGCTTCCTAGTAAAGGAGCAGAGACCCTACCATTAAGATTTTATATATAATGCACTAAATTTACTAATGTGTTTGAATTTTTTCTTTTATGAATTTCGTAACATTCCGTCTTTATTAATGCTAATTCTACATTGTACCACATAGAAGCCTGGTTCTTTAAATATATTAGTTCAAGTCTACCTCTATGTACGCTAAAGAAACATATACCCACCTCGTCTAAAAACTAGAAAAACATCCAGATGCCTATAATATACTTCAAGGTAGAAATCATGCTTTATTCAGTTTTGTCTTTTCTGTGACTGGTAAGAGAAGAGATCCTAAGAAAATATTTATTGAAAAAATAAATGGATACATAAATGTTTTAAGCAGAGTTCACAATTTCTAAAGAATGAACACCACATCCTGAAAGAAACTACCATTTACTTTTAGTTTCCTTTTTTTATAAAAATATATATGGAAAGATTCAAAATTAGTTGTCAGTTTTACATACTTCGCCCACAATGAGCAACATCACCAACCAAAAGAAAAAAGGCACTGAATCATTGTTGAAATCATTGTTGATTTTAATTAGTTTGATCCAAAAAAAAAAAGCTGAACTTGGGCATGTTATTCTATGTTCTTATTTGAAGTCCTTAATTTTAACATTTGTTGTATAAAACATTCCAATTGAAAACATATAAATAGTAAATGGAAAAAATCTTACATGTATGCAGCGTAAATAGCATTAACTAACTTTTTGATTCATTTATTCATTCACTCAAATATTTAAAGTATGTAATGTGCTTAGAGAAGATCAAGTCGTGGAGGGGAAAAATATTGACTGATTGCAGTTTAAACTTATGATCACTAATTTGAATTGAGTCTTAGTGCTGCCTAGCTATCCTACTATATTCTACTCAATTCACCCCCACTACATGACCACAGAACACTTCCCCTCTCTCTACAAATCTTCAACGTCTTCAGCCCCTCTTCAATCTCAGCTGATGATCTTGCTTCTTGTTTCTCTGGGAAAACAAATCAAGCAGAAGAGGACTTCCACAGGCCCTCACCTCCAAAAGTATCATCTATCTGTGTTGATGTGCTCTGCCCTCCTTTGTGTATTATTTTGGGAGAACTGTCTGGTTCCCATCTGAGGCCCATCCTCTGTCTCTTATTCAAGACCATGACTTCTGTAACTGTTCAATCTTGCTCCTACATAATCAATTTTCCCCTTTCTACTAGATTGTTTCCATCAGCACCTAAACATATTATAATGTATCCTATCTTAAAAATACAATACAATACAATAAAAACTTGATCCAACCTCATCTTCTAACAGCCTAATTATTTGCCCTGCTTCACAGAAAAGCTCATCTAAAAAATTGTCTATTCCGTGCCATTCTCAATAGGAGTGATATCACTCCAGAAGGTCAAAAATTAATTCTTTCAGGCAAAAATTACTTGCTCTTTGTATATGTAAGGCATAGATATATATATACAATACATAACAAAAGTATACCTGTGATACTGGAATTTCATGGAGAGGGGAGGATTAGAAAAAAATGTCTAAGAAAGCTCTTTAAGGAGGTGATCATGAAAAAGTGAGAAACACTGGTCTAAACACACTGTCTCGGTGTCCTCCCTTCCCATTTGTTTCTTGAGCCTTCTCCAATCTGGCTTTCATTCCCAGCATACCATACAAACTGCTATTGTCAATGTCACCTTTATCCTCTGACATGATTTCAGTGTTTGTCTCCTCCAAATGTCATGTTGAAATGTGATCCTCGGTGTTGAAGGTGGGCCTAGTGGGAGGTGTTTGGTCATGGGGGCGGATCTCTCATGAGTGCCTTGGTGCCTTCCCTATGTAATGAGCTCACATGACAGCTGGTTGTTTAAAAGAACCTGGCATCTCTCTCTTGTTCCCTCTCTCCTCATGTGATGCTCCAGTTCCCCCTTCACGCTTCACCATGACTAAAAGCTTCCTGAAGCCTCACCAGAAGCTGAGCAGCTGCTGGTGCCATGCTTGTATAGCCCGCAGAACTGTTAGCCAAAATATATCTCTTCCAGCTTCAAGTATTTCTTTACAGCAACGTGAAATGGACTGACACACCCTCCACATTGCGAAATCCAATGGGCAACTCTTAGATGAAACTATAGTCAGTATTTGGTACAGCTGATGACTTCCTCCTTCTTCAAACACTTTCTTGGCCTATGGGACAACATACATGTTTGGTTTTCCCCCTCACTCACTGGCATCTCCCTCTCAGTCTTTCTTGGGGTTCCTCTTAATCTTCTAGTTTCCAAACATTGCAGTTTCTCTGGGTTCAATCTTGGACCTCATCCAGTTCCATGGCTTTAAATACTATTTCTCTACTGATGATTTTCAAATATATCTCTCCAGCTCAGACATTGCTCCTGAAACCTTCTATATTCAACTGCATAAGTATTCCCACTTGAATCTCTATTAAGCAACTCAAACCCAATCCAAGACCAAATTTCTCTTCTTGATTCCCAGTTCACTACCTGCCTCACAAACCTACTTCTCCCTCAGTTTTCTCCCTTTGGTAGAAGACAACTCTGTTTTTGCAATTATTCAATCCCAAAACAGTGATTTCACTCTGGAAACCACTGTCACAGTCCATATCTATACATCAGCAAATCCTGGCAGCCATACTTTTGAAATCAAGTGTCTGTAGCAACCTGAACCCTTTAGAATTGATGCAAAAATGAGGGATCCTTGTACATCTGGATTGCACCTACTGCTCAATGTACCACCAGTATTGCTGTAGTCCATGCCACCATCATTTCTGGTCTCTGCATTGACAACATCAGTTCATCTGGTCATCTCAGCCCTCTTACAGTCTAACTTCCAAAACAACAGCAAGGTAAATTCATAATCCCTAAATCTAAGTCACATAAGGTCTTTCCTGAAATGGCTTCCCATCTGATGGAGAGTAAAATCCAATGTCTCTATCACAGTTCACAAAGCCCTATTTAATTGAGCCTCCTGCTTCCTCTCTGCTCTCATCTTCTGCCACTGTCCCTTTCATATACACTGCATGACAGCCACACTGGCTGCCTTATAAAACTTCTCACTGCTTGGGGCCTTCCTACTTGTTCCAAGGAACTTCTATTTGGATATCCCTCCAGAGATTCTCTTGGTTTACACTTTCACTACCTTCAGGTGTCTACTGTTTAAAAATCACCTTGTCACAGACCTGCTCACACTATATACAAGAGTATTCCTTGTCATTTTCTATTTCTCCTATCTTGTTTTCTCTTCCCTCAGCATGTACCATCATTTCACATAGATATTCACTTATTTTTCCTCCACCCCCTGGATCAAATACTATACAATATTATGCCTCCTTCCACTAGAATAGAAGTTCCTTGGAGCTTTTAATGTTTGGTTCACTGCTGTACCCAGGGTGTCTAGAACAGTGTCTAGCACATAGTAGATGTTCAATATCTGTAAAATGAAAAAAAAATGAATTTGACATCTTAATAAAAGATGACAAGTGCCATTTAAAAATAAAACTGAATTTTAATTTCTCTTCTTGGAGTAAAATCTCATATTTTCATATGCATTTGGCAAGTAAAATTATAAGATGCAAAAAGTATCTAAAAAGTCACAGAAATAGAAAGCAAATTCTGCTTCAGATATGATGATTTCCTTTGGCTATTTCATGTAGCAAATTTTAGGAGAGATCAACATTTAAATATCTTACTCAAACCAACAGAGACTTCTAGACTAGTAAATACTACAAAAGTGTTCTGTGCTGGCTACTCAAATACATTTTAGATTTTCTCTCATTATTTTCTAGACATAAACATTCAAGTCAGAATGAAAAAATGTCAGACTTTGGAAACAGGACTTCAGAAGAATGACGGTCAGAAATGTCCAGTCAGTGTATAAACAAGTCTCATAAATCTGAGGCAATATAATACAAAACTACTTATATAAGATACATTTGTGAAGAAAAAAAACAAATTTGGACTAAAGCTTATCCAGTGAAGAATGCCAGTATTCCTCCCATTCTTTTTTTTATCCTTCCCTTCCTCTCTTTTCACTAATATTTAGAATTCCCTACTTTAAAATTAGTAGTTGATTGTGGTAATACTTTCTTATTTGGATTTAGCACATTATATTTGAATCTTCAGAGATTTCTGCCAGAAAGCTAAAATCTTACTTCTCAAATTTCTTCTCTTTTGAAAATGCCTTTGCCAGCTCAGATGGGGAAAAGTTTAATTCAATTCAGTTGATGACTCAGTTGGTGATAATGACGCAATTCCATAAATTATAGCTCTCTGCTCTTTCATCTCATCCCCATCTCTAGTATGGACATTTCCTTTTAAAGCTTTTCTGTTATCGAAGAACTCTAAATGAAAAATAGGGCTCCAAGTTCTAAAAGAAGCACACAGTCAGTAAGGCAGCATTAAGGGGGAAACTTTCCTTCTGTTAGGGTAGCAACCTGGTGGCCTAGTTTAAAACATCACACATCTACTGACAGCATGTGTATGAGAACAAAACTATGAAAATATTTACATCATGATGCGTTTATATCAAGCATGGAGAGATTGCACACATTGGTAAAGGATAAATTGCTAGGAGAGGGGCAAAAAGGTATACCGCTCCAATTACTAAAGCCTGGAGAAGATTTGGATTCCATAATTGGTTCTACCACTCAACAGCTAGAGAGCCTTAAGCAAGTTAACATAATTTCTCACTTTCCTCCTCTATAAAATGGGAATAATAATATTTCTCATGAAGTGGTTGTGAAGGGTAAAAATTATAATTTAGGAAAGTGCTTAACATAAGTATTCACAAAATTGTGTTGATATTGGAATTATCATCATCTTCCAGCTATCCTCAACTTTATGTTGTTATTTTTTTTCTGACACAACTAATTAGTTCCCCAGAGGGACACTTAAGTAGGTAAACTCCCTCTGTCCTGCCAGGAGCAGAAGTGAGTAATAACTGCAATAACAGAAGTGCCAGATCACCCTAAACTCCAAGATGATGGAAGTCTCCGCTGTTTCTACTGATGTCCCCATTTGTGGAAGGTGGCAGAGAGGTGAAGATTCAGTTGGGCAGCCTCTCAGGCACTTAGAGAAAGAAAGATTAAGTAGAACAGACTCCCAATCTGCCATTTAGCAAATAATAAATTTAAAAAGACAAGAGAATTAGGAAATAATAAATATAAAAATACAAGAACATGATAAAATATCAAAGGTGACAATATTTAATTAATACATTAAAAATGTAAGGCTAATAACTGTTTTTTCTAAAATTAAGATCCCAGTTTATAAGTTTGCAGGCAGCCCAACAGACCAGCTCGTGTCAGAAGTTTAGAAACTGAATATTTCCCCCTCCTATGGAGATGGTCTGCTGAAAAATGCAATGAAGCATACTATTTGATGAAAACAGGACTTTCGTTCTTTGTGCTTTTAATAAAACTCTTTTCAGCAAAATGTCAAGGAAAAAATCAAGAATTAGAAACGTCTTTTAGTAAAAGTATTTCGTTCTCATTTTTCCATCAAGAATTATGGAAAATTCTAGAAGTTATAGAAAGGAAGTTGAAGGTATTCATTATGGGTAGTATTTTATCATTATATTCTACAGTGCATAATAAATTTTGCATCTTTGTAGTATAACTTATTCATGTTTTACGTGTCAGTTTAAGCATATGTTAAGGTTAACAGCCTTTAGAACAACATTTCTCAAAGTCTTAAGAGTGTTTTCTTTCTTCCAATCTAATTAGATAAAGTTATTTACCACCTCAATGTATCCAGCCAGGTTTTGAAAGATAGATTCAGTATTTTTGATGAACTAAGACCCCTGTCATTTGTTCAACAGATGTTCCCCTCCAAGGCTCACCATAATCTGCCCCAAATCCATCTCTCTGGTTTTATCTTCTAAAATTCCCCACCATAAAGCCTAGCTCCTACCAAATCAGTCCATTTTCAGCCTCCCAAATATAAAATGAACATTTCTATTTCAAACTTTATGATAAGACCATTCTTCTCTCTAAAGCACTCTCTCCCTTTCCCACTGAATGTCCTCCAAGACGTTTTCAGATTGTTTCACTCATTCATTCATTCATTCATTCAATGCAGACTGAGAGCCTACATATACGAGGCACTCACAAAGGAATCCTGGGAAAACAGGAACAGGTAAGTCCAAGCAAGTACCTGTTTGAGTGGACTCTATATTCTACCAGAAAAGACACACATTGCACAATGGATTAAACTGTTAATTAATTAAAGTTGTGATAAGTGTTAAAAATACAAGTCACCGAAAACTACGAGCACATGTAATGGGAAAAATGGCCTGGTCTTGGGGGTCAGAAAGACTTTTTTTTTCTTGTATTTTTTATTAATATATCATAGTTTTACATATTTTTAGAGTACATGTGATATTTTGATACATGTATAAATATGTGATGATCAAATCAGGATAACTGGAATACCTATCACTTCAAATATTTATCTTTTCTTTGTGTTGGTTACATTATAATTCTTCTATTAGGAAGACTTTCTTGAGGAAGTGGTTTTGAGCTGAGGTTGAAGGATGAAAAAGGGCCTAAAGTAGGGCAGAGGGAGGTCAATAAACAAATCTGCTTGATGGTTATTATAAAATTAAGATATATTAGTAAAGATATGGCAAGGAAATTCTTGCCTTCCAGGCATTAAAACTTATTGCAACAGTATTTCTCCCAATTACTCTTGCTTTCTGTAAAGCTGGGGACAAAAAAAAAACCCAGTAATGATCTTACATTTAAAGAAGCCACCAGGAAAAGGTGTTAGCCAACAGCTCTCAAAAGATCTGGGAAACGATCAGTCAAAACTGGTCCCACTACCCTGAGCCCCACTACCCTGAGCCCCACAGCCCAGGCAATATAGGAAAAATATTCAAACAGATGTGAAAGCTTGGCCCTACAGAGAGTGCAATGTTTCTGGAGAGCTTTATCTTCCAAACCCCGTAAGCAGAGAGTAGTAGCTCCTCCTTAGGAGCCTACTGGAGAATGATTCAGAAGCAAACTCTGGGAGGGAGCTCCCAGGAGGAGTAACAGAGACCTGGTTCCCTGGCTATGTACTTGCTGAACTGTTGAACCCATGGGGACTAGGGCAAAGCTCTGCTGGTAGGGCTGCCTATAAGGAGGGGACTGTTAACAGCAACAGAAAGGTTCATAGGAGGCTAAACACTACCCACTGGCCAAAGAAACACACCACACATATGGTCTACATATAGACCATCATGGAGGAACAGGCAAGAGCAGCCAATTGCCCCTCCCTACCACCAAGAAGTCAGTCTTAGAGGCAATCAATGGTTCTGTAAGCTTATAGTTTGTAGATGTTCAGAGATAACACACACACACACACACACACACACACACACATACACACACAGACCCATAATCCACTCTGCTACAACTCTCTAGCACCACAGGTGCCACAGACAGGTCTAGCTGGAGTTTAGGGTAGAGAGAATGAGCTCCAAACTGAGACCGAAGTTTAAACATAAATACAGCGAGTCTTCAAAACCAAAGTGAGACTGTTCTAATGGCCAAAAGTGACCAGAAAGTTATAGCAAAGGACCAAGATGTCATTAAGGAATCCTCTCTAGATAGACATGGAGTTCAACATAGAGACGTTGAGGGCAGTTCTGGGAAAAAATAAAGCTGTCTCATGTTTACAGGTCAAATAGTTCAGACTCCTTAAAAATGACTTAAAACCACAAATTGATTATAATGAAAACAATGACGATATTGCAACACAAGTAAATAAATGGAACAGAACAGATATCCAGAGACAGACTCAAGTATATATGGAATTTAACATACGGCAAATGAGGAATTTCAATTTAGTGGGCAAAAAAATAATCTCTTATTAAATAAATGGTGCTGATATAATGGATTTCACTCTGGAAAGACAAAAAACAAAGCTAGATACCTTTCTCATATTTTATATAAACATATATTCCATATAAAGATTTTAATGTAAAGGATAAAAATTAAAAATATTAGGAATATAATTCAGAATACTTATATGACTTTAGAGTGAGGGAGATAATCCTTAGCAATCAGGAAGTCAAGTATCTATTAAAGAAAAAGACACACTTGACTAAATAAAAATCTTAAGAAATTATTATGGCAAATGAAATAATAAACAAAAGCAAAAGATAAATAAATGCTAGTCTAGGAAATATATGTAGTACTATATTACAAATATTGATATCCTTCATGTGTGAAATGCTCATAAAAAACAAATAATCCACTAGAAAAGTAAGCATAGGACATGACTGGGACATTTCACAGAAGAAAAACTCTAAATGACCAATAAGCTTATGAAAAGAGGCTCAATTTTACTTTTGGTCAAGGGAAATGCAAATTAATGCAAGAGCAATCAACCTGTTTTTACTTATCACTTTGGCAGAAATGTTAAGATTGATAAAAATTTAAAATATCCGGTCCTGATGAGTATATAGGCAAACAGGCATTGTCAAACGTAAGAGTGAGAATCATGACAAACTTTTTGGAAGGTAATATGGCAATACTTATTATAACATACAGGTTTTTTGAGCCAGAAATTTCACTTTGGGGATCTTATCACCCAATATAGCATTAAGAGCATCAGTTTATAAGAATATGTAAACAAGGATGTTTTTCAAGGCATAGCATTTAATAGAGAAAAAAACTGGAAACCACATGAAAGTCCATAGATAAACAAGAGATGAAAGACTAAATTCCAGTACTCCCAAACTAAAAAACTTTATGCAGCTGTTAAATAAAAATAAATCAGATGTTTATCTAAAATAATGTTGAGTAAATAAGCAAAGTGCAAAACAATAATTTTAGAAGGCACGCACAGTCATCCAAAGCTTTATATGGTTGGAACAAAGTGTGGAAGGGCACTCACTGAACTGTTAACATCAGTTAGCTCTGGGGAATGGAAAGGAGGGCAGGGCCAGGAATAAATAGGTTTGTAAGGAATAAGAAGAGAACCATGAATGAAATGACAATTTGTTGGGCATTCTATGAATAGACTGTGTGGGAAGGAATAAAGAGATACTTGATAAAACCAGCAAAAATTTAAAAATAGAAAAAAGTAAATAGTAGGCACCAATGAAAAGGATAAAAACAACATAGTACTTACCCCAATAAATGTAAAAGGGTTGAACTCATCTATCAAAAGAAAAAAATAAATAGTAGATACCAACGGAAAAGATAACAACACAGCAGTTATCTCAATAAATATAAAAGGGTTAAACTCTCCTATTGAAAGAAAGAGATTTTTCATGCTGGATTTAAAAACTCAGGTAGGTATATTGTTCTCTGGAAACATCTAAAACCAAGTAACCATAAATCAACAAAAGTGATCTTATTCACAATCTCCATAAATATTATAAAATATTTCTTAACATGCCTAATAAGTAATGTGTAAGATCTTATGATAAAAGCTATAAAATTTTACTGAGGACATTAAAAATACCTAAATAAGTGGAGAAATGTTTCATTTTCTTAGATGAGAAGATGATCTATTATAAAGATGCCAATTCTTCCTAAACTAATGCAGTGTAATTGAGTGTAATTCAAATCAATATTCCAACAGGAGTTTTTAATGAAACCTGATTCTAAAGTACACTCAGAGAAATAAAAAATAGATTAGCTAAGAAAAAACAGGACAAAAATCAAGCGGGCTTTATTCTACTCTACATCAACATAACTGTTTCCATAGGAAAAGAGTTTAGTGAAAAGAATCTTTATTTCATATTGGCAGTATTAAAGCCACACTTTGTTATACTGTAAATCTCCTAAATGCCCATCAAACTGGTTTACTACATTAAGGTAAATCAAAAGACGAGAGCACTACACAGTAAAAATAATGATGCACATGAATATTCACTGGCACTGAAAAGATACTCTTAATATACTGTAATATAGTTTTGAAAAATCCACTGAACAATTTCACATATCTTAAGTATAGCATTAAGGTCCAAGTTGATGATTAGATAGCTGAAGCCAGAGAATGTAGCCAGAGGTTGGAAAGAACAGAGTGACAGGAGGATGTGAGAAGCTTTGTTTTGCGTACCAGAGCATTATGTGAGGAAAGGAGTGGGATGGTATACAGGTCACCACTGAGAAAGCAGTTATTGAGTATCCCTGGAAAGTTAGAAAGGTACCCCCAAGATCTTTATTTTAATAGTTCATTTAAAAACCTAGCATCTATAAATGTACTGGAACTTTCAGAAACTATTATACTGGATGAACAAGTGCTATAATTTTTAAATGTAAGCAAAATTATTCAGTCAAATAATGTCTTATTAATTGAAAACTTTTCTACATTGAAATAAAGTAGCATTTCCTTAATTTGTGGTTGTATTTTAGAATTTTAAAAACAATTCCATGTTCTCCTAAATTATAATTAAACATACATATGCATATCTGTTCTATATCTGCATCTATTGGCATTGTAGATCTGTGAAGCTCTATATTTCTAGATAAAGAAATTTTATTTCTGTTATTCATATATTCACATATGGATGTGATCCTTTGGTTATTAGAGTTTGCCTTCTTGAGATCTTCTCCGCTTTTATTACATCTTTGCTATCACACAGCAACTAGAAATTAAAAAATTTACAAGGATAAATTATTTAGGGAAAACAAACTCCTTTCCCCATCCTCCAATCTAGGAAAGAGAAGCTCAACATTGTGTTTTGAAAGGTTGTGATGACTGCAAATACACACACACACACACACACACACACACACATGCACACACACACATGAGAAAGTAAAGCATCTTTCTCTTGCAGGATCTTAAGGTGGATTAAACTGGTGAATCCCTGAAAATCAGAGGGTGGGGGGTGGAGATGAGTGCTATAACTAGAAGTAAAACTAGGAGGAGAGATTAGGAATTCCTGAATCTAATGTTTAAGGGTCAGGGGTTTGAGGAATTTCTGTGCATGGTAGAGAGGAAGATCAAGTACACATGGAAGAGCTATGCATAACAGTGGTTAAGAGTACAAGCTCTGGAGTCATTTTACTGAGGTTCACATCTCAGTTTCACCAAGAATTGAGACAATAATAATGCCTAGCATTACTTTGAGGATTAAGTGATATAATCTTTGTAATAAGAATATAGAGAAAGTAGCACTATTATAGAATCAGAAAGTAAATCATAAGAGGGTCACAATATGATACATGAGGTTTCTCTATTCTCCCAGCTGGGAGGAAGTTTAATAAATGTAATAAATAATTGCCAAATGAAAAAACAATTACATCTGCTTCTTCCATAAGAAGCAAAATAGAGAGAGTTGGATGACAGAAAATCCAGACCACTCTATAATGTAAAGGGAATTCTTTCACATAAGATATGATACTTATGTTAATCCTAAAGGCTACATATGATTAGAAAGAGAGAGAAAGAGAATGAGAATGAGAAGAAAAACACAGGAAGCTACAGACGTGGCTGTTCATAGTCTGTACAAATGTGAAACATGTAGTACATTCCTAATTCTGTCACTCATTAATCAAGCACTTTTTGGTAAGTTATGTAATTCTAATGGGCCTAAATTTATTTCCCTGTGATATGCAGTTTTGTGAATATTATAGTTATAGTGTTATTCTATGTTTCTGTCATTTTCACAGTCCTCTCTAGTTTAGATTCTAAGGGGAACTACAATATATATTTCACACACTAGATGGCAATATATGGCTTTGTAAGTGGATGTCTTTTTCACAGAAGCCTAAGACGTCTAATAATCAAATAAGAGCTGATTTTTCTCCAGAAAACACAGAGAGAAGGGTAGACATTAACCAATTCTTCATACTGAGGTCATGTTTTAATCCCTTTGATTTGACCCACAGATGTTAAAGGATCTTGTGGGGACATTCTAGTTTAAGTCTTTAGTGCCAGAGAGAATTATTTCATAACAATGAATTAAACACAAAATGATTTCCATGGGGGTCCAATTCTGAATTGAGTCAGCTCAATATAACATCCAAAGACCCTCATCCTCAGTCAAATATACCAAGTCAATTATTCTTAAACTTTTTCATCATAAAGAGCCTACATATGGCACAATACTCCTCCACTAAAAAAAAAGGAAAGAAGATCTATTTCTTTTCAGCATGATACATTTTTTTAAAACAGTGTCAACGTTATCTTTCTTTTTTTTTTTTTTTTTTTTTGAGAGGGAGTCTCGCTCTGTCACCAGGCTGGAGTGCAGTGGCGTGATCTTGGCTCACTGCAACCTCCGCCTCCCAGGTTCAAGCGATTCTCCTGCCTCAGCCTCCTGAGTAGCTGGGACTACAGGCGCACTCCACCACACCCAGCTAATTTTTGTATTTTTGGTAGAGATGGGTTTCATCATGTTGGCCAGGATGGTCTCGATCTCTTGACCTCGTGATCCGCCCACCTCAGACTCCCAAAGTGTTGGGATTACAGGCAGAAGCCACCGCGCCCGGCCAATATCATTTTTTATAATAAGAGTAAACTATTCTTATTTTTAAAGTTATGATTATTCAAAAAATCGTAAAGAAGAAAATGAAAATCATATCTGAGCAATAGCCAATGTTAATGTTTGTCAAATTATTTCTGATTCATGAAAAAATATATAAATACATACTTTAATCTTCTTTCCAAGTTAAAAATATTTATAAATATTTCTGTTAATAAATATATTATTATATTAGTGGTCACTACCATTCTATTTTTCATGGGTATATATTTACAAAATGTACACAGGAAGTGTTCTGAGAACACATACCTTAACTGAAAAGTCTGGTCTTGCCCCACAACACTATTTTTCACAAAATTGACAGAATTGGTCCCATTTAAAGATGAGTAATGATTAACAAGAGACATATGCAGAGAAAAGGAGAAAGACAACAGAACAGAAAAGAACAGAACCTAAGAAATGAGCTGATGAAAAATACATATCAGAAAAATTTTGCCAGGAAGCAAATTAGTTCAACAAACACTCGGGCATTAGTTCAGTAACAGTAAAAGAATACAGGACCTCTTTGAAACAATACCTCAAGGAAGGGGCCAAAAGGAACTCTTGAAAATTACATGGATGACATGGAGAAAAGGCTAGAAAAAAAGTAATGCAAAGATCAAAGTTGAAAGTGAGTTAAAAGAAAACAGAAGCTTTGAGAGGGAGATACTTTAAGCTTTTGTAGATACTCTGAGATCATAATAAATGAAACAAATAAATCTTCCAATAAGTATTAGAAGGAAACTTACCTAAATAAGAGAAGAGCTGAATGTTCAAGGCAAAAGTGGACAACATAGCCCATGAAAAATGAACACAAAACTAGTAACAATAAGATATATACTTATGAAATTACTGGGCTCAAAGATAAAAAATATAAAAGAGATGGCTCTAAAGTAAAATATCCCTGAAAGGTTTAGAGGAAAAAGCATACACCAGAAAAAAGAAAATAAAAGAGAGAACATTTCATTTATAAAAGTTTATTTGAAAGCAAAATAAAATTAAAATGAAACTAAAGAGAGAACTTTTTAAGTCAAAGGATATAATTTTAATGAGGGTCTAGTACAAATCAAATAAAATCATAAAGCAAAAATTGCCACAAAAAAACCCAGGAAAGACAGAAAGAAAAGTAATAATAGTAGGTGAGTTAAGTTATCTTTCTCAGCCAAACACAGCTCAAGTGCACACACAAAATATAAGATGTAAAAAGAGCTAAATAAAATTATTAATTAGCAAGCCCTTAAACACATTTAGGAGACAGTCTATGACACGGTGTTGCTTTAGATGTCACTAATACAAATATTGAGAAATACTTTCAAAATGTAATGTTAAAGGATCTCTCTTGATATACAAAACTATGCAGTTTTTAAATATTGGAGTATGTAATTTACAGCACAAATGAATGTCCTGACTGATGGCTACACTGTATTTTTATAAAATGTTATAGTATGTTATTAAAACAATCTCAAAATCAATCCAATTATTGCCAACCTCCATGGCAATAAATTATCCTACTTTAAATGTCATTGGCAACAAACTAGAAGTAGATTCATGAAGAGATCATTCAAATTAGTCTCCCACTTTGCCTACAGGCATCTAATAAATATTCCAATTTCTTCTATATTATTATCACACACTGTACTAGAAAATAAGCTATATTATTTCTGCATAGTAGAAATGATACTCAAGGAAAAAAATGCTTTCAAAATTTAACAGCAGCTATACCCTTCCTCAGAAAACAATTTCTTCTATAGTTCTAAATCTAAGATCTATAAAACATATTTATTACCAGTTTTCTTTCTATTAGTGGCATAAAAAGCCATTTCTCTATCAAAACCAAGGTCAATGTTAGCTGTGCAACAAAGTCAAAAGCTACAGGCATATCAATACCCACTGCCATCCCACAGCCCTGAAGCCTTGTCCACCACGACCAGACTCTGTTATAGCTCATGGGCTTCAGGAAAGATGAGGTACCCTCTACAATTCAATGACTTGACGGGCCAGGGTCAGTGAGCCATGATGAAAGCAGGAGAAAATAAGTGAAATCTGTGCAGATACTGACAAAACAGAGCCACAAAAAAGTAAGAACATGCCATATTTTGTTTTCTGTTCCTGCATTAATTTGCTAAGGATGAGGGCCTCCAGCTCCATCATGACCTTTTATCTGGAATCCAGGTAATAGGGAAATCTATAGGGACAGATAGTAGATTAATGATTGCTTAGGGCTGGGGGCAGGGATGGGGATGGAGGGATGGGGGTGATAGCTAAAGGGGACAGAATTTCTTTTTGAGGTGATAAAAAATTCCAAAATTTACTAATTACAGACATTGATAATGGTTGCCTATATCAGTTATTATACTAAAAACCACTGAATTGTACATTTTAGATAGGTGAATTGTATGGTATGTGACTTATAATCTTAAAGCTATTTTTTTGTGTGTGTCGTTGTTGTTTTGTTTTGTTTTAAGAGGTGTGTCTTAGGGGTTGAGGAAGAAGTCAGGGAAGAGGTGAGCCAAGAGGTCCCAAGCAGGGAAGAGCATAAGACAGAGACTCAAGAGTAATCCAAGATGAGATGTCGCATGGGTTCATATAATCAATATACGCAAAGCAAAGGTGCAAATGTGAGGAAAAGAGATACAAATTGTTTGGACAGGCTGATGCTTTATGACAGCAGTTCTCAACCCTGGCTGCACAGTAGCATTACTTGTTTACAAGGCGAGTCACTTTTTGAAGATACATTCGTTGCTCTGTTCCAGAAACAAGTAGATTTGCTAAGGCACGGTATTAATAATAATTCTCACAGTGCGGCTTTGAACTGAATCTTCAGCATCACCTAGAAACTTGTAAAAAATGCAAATTGTCCATGCATACCTCGATACAACCAGAAACTCAGACTGTGGCCCAGTAATCTGTGTTTTAACAAGTCTTCCAGGTGATTCAGATGCAGGCATAAAAACAAACCAAAACAATGGCAACAAAAATCCACTAGAGACAGGGTGAACATTCTGCACCCAGACCCTTGATGTGAACATAATATGGTGTACCCTTCTAGTTCTTTTTGTCAGGCTTGGGAATAGCTATTACCAAGCAATTTTTCTAAGAAACTTTTGTTTTAACCTTTGTTAAGGAAAGCAAAACCCAGGTTTTAGCTATATTGTTCACAGACCTGAAAAGGAACTGAAACAGATGTTTTAGATATTTAAGGTTTTAACAGGAAAGTATTCCAATTTAAAAACCAAGATGTCACTTTTTTTTTTTTGTAACAGCAAAGTTGTGAGAAATCGGAAGTTCTCTCAAAGATTTAATATTTCAATTCTAGGGCATATAGATATTAGATTGGACTTCCCAGACACACTGGATGAAGGAGAGAGACAGCAGCTGGAGTACCAAAAAGGATGTCAATTCACATTCCTGGCATGATTCAGGACACCCTTCTTACCTGGTAAATAGAAATTCATACAGAGCAACATACTATTTGAAAATAAGTAAGTTGATAAAAAGTAAATGAATCAAAATGAACATATAGAACTAATTAAGTTAATGAAAGTCAAAGGAATATGTAAATACAATTTTCAGATCTGAACTTAAGCATAAACAACTAGTATTTTAAAAAATAAGGTCTACTGCAAAACAAGCAATGGGGAAAAGACTCCCTATTTAATAAGTGGTGTTGGGACAACTGGCTAGCCAGATGAACAAGATTGACACATGTTCACCTACGTAACAAACCTTCACATGTACCTCCAAACCTAAAATAAAAGCTAAAAAAATAAAAAATAAAAAATAAAGATTATATCATAGTATTCTAGCACCTTGACAAAAAAAGAATAAACAAACAAGTCTGAATAGATTCCTTTAAGAAATGGAATCTGTAATTTAAAATTTTACCACAAAGAAAACTCTAGGCCTAAATGGTTTTACCAGTGAATTCTTCTAAACATTTAGGAAAGAAATAACACCAAACTTGTATTAAAATGCTTCCCCTGAACAGAAACAGGAAAAATTTCCCAAATAATTCTATGAGGCCTACATACCTCCATGTCCAACAACTGGAGAAATTAATACAAGAAAAAATACTACAGCTCAATCACTCTCATGGACATGAATGCAAAAATCCTAAACAACATATTAGCAAGCCAAATTCAGATTTACATAAAAAGCATTAAAAAATAAGGTCCATTGTCAATATAGAGTTTTTCTTTCTTTCTTCATACAAATCCATATTTAATGAAAATAGAATATGAATAGAATAAGAAAAAAGTCTATTATGGGATTCTATTAATGAGAATTTTACAGAGAATGTGAAGAAGTAATACGGACCAGTGAAGTTTTTCCTTAGGTCTTTTGGAAACACATTCATTCAGTTGGTCAGTTGGTCATTCACTCAATTCGCAAATATTAAAGAACACCTATGCAGTAAACACTCATTGTTCTTGATTACTCAGCACACAAGTTCTCTTCATGGCAGTACCTATATTTATTTTGAGGTGTTACTTTGTCCCATTGATTACATGCAATGCAATAGGATTATAATCCAAGATGCTGCAATTCCCTAGCCATGAGGTGGGAATAAGACCCATGTCAGGTCAATAGGATGCTCTCTTGAAATTTAAGTCTTGGGCAGAGGCACAATGATACTGATGGGGCACATCTTTTCTAAAGGTCATATTCTCACCAGATTGTTGCCAGCTAGGGCTTTTTATATAATTCTTGTTCCACGGGGTTGGGGAATTAAAAACAGGGCACTTCAGTCAGAAGTTTCAAGGTTTCAATTATGCAAGGTAAGTAAATCCTGGAGATCCCCTGTATAGCCTAGCAACTATAGTTAATAATATCATATTGTATACTTAAAAAATTGTTAAAATAGTACATCTAATATGTTGTATATTCTTTTTTTTTTTTTTTTTTTTGGTTTGTTTTTTTTTTTTGACACAAGGTCTTGCTCTGTCACCCAGGCTAGAGGGCAGTGGCACAGTCAGGGCCTACTGCAGCCTTGACTTCCCAGGCTTAGGCAATTCCCCGCCTCAGCCTTTTGAGTAACTGGGATTACAGGAACATACCACTATGCTTTGCTACTTTATTTTTTTTTGTAGAGATGAGGTCTTGCTATATTTCCCAGGCTGACCTCGAACACCTGGGCTCAAGCAACCCTCCTGCCTCACCCTCCCAAAGTGCTGGGATTATAGGCATGAGCTACCACACCTGGCCTATGTTAAGCATTCTTATTACAAAAGAAAAAAATAACAAATAAAGGGGAAAAAGCTTTTGGAGGTGATGTGGATATGTTTATGGCATAGACTGTGGTAATGGTTTTAAGAATGTATACTTATCTCCAAATTCATCACACTGTATACAGTATGTACAGCTTTTCATATGTCAATCATACTCAAAGTGATTTAATAAAAGAGGACTCATGCAAGGGCTAAAAGATGAGACCACATGCTCTCTAAGACTCCCTTCAATTCTGAGTTTCTATGATTAAAATGAACACCGTCAGCTAGGATTGTAGTATCAGTAAGGAAAACTGGCCTGATGAAACAAAAGCTAACTGAGCAAGTGCAACTTCTTGGAGAAATGTATCCTCCCTGCCCCAGTACTTAATACCTTTATTCCCTTTTTGTTTCTCATATCTGAATTCCTTCCTACTACTTAGTACAGGAATTTTAGCTTTCAGACTCCTCACATGTGCCTTTTGCTGACATTACTTCCCTGTTCACCTCTGGATCTCAGAGTTGACTTAGAATAAACCCAAAGTCTCCTGTTGTTCACATGTATACTAGAAATTCTAATTTGGCCACTGGCTTACTATCTTCTCCTTCCCACTATCCCCAGCATTTCTGGCAGTAAGAGTGCAAATTCTACCACTGCCATCCCACCTGCACTGAGTTACATCTCATCTGTGCTGAGTCAAAGTGGCAGGAAAAAGATGTCTGTGGATTTATCACAAGTTTCTGGTGGCAGTGCACCAGGAACCCTCAGGAATCACGAAGAAAATCTTAGGTATCTACCTAAGAAAATCTTAGCTATCCACCTCCCCTACTCCCACCTCTGAGAGTAAATAGCTGCTGTCAACTAGGAAAGATATAAGCATGTAAATGACATTTCTAAATTGGCTATTTGTAGTTTAGAGTCTACTTTGGGGAAAGATAGGAAATCAAACCCTCTGCACATACTTTCCCCACCACATGTTTTATATCAAAAAGAAATTAAACAAAGGTTACTATCTAAGGTAAAGTGAATAATGCTAAACCAACTGCAGTATCCAAAGGCTTAGAAAGGATAAAAATTTTCTTTGACTTTTAGTTCCTTTATTAAAATTTGGCTCTTCTGGCATAATTTCAGCTTCTTCAGCAAAATTTACTCATCCCCTCTCACCCATCCCTTGTCATGCCTCTCGTTCACAAAAGAGCTAGCTAGACAATTGCCTCAGACAGAAGTAAACACAATTAGAGAGCAACCCAGAGAACAAGAACATAGGAAAGGAGGCAATCCAAGCAAGTACTTGTACATAAAAATCTTTTCTCAAAAATGGCCACAAAAACTGCTCTTCCTTTAGGCAAAATCATTTCATATCCATCAAAAATACTGACGTGTTGAAGACATGGGCAATAAGAAAAGTGTTCAACTTTTAACCAGCTTTAAAAACATTCTATGGGTTTCACCTTGGCCTAGATTAATATCATGACGACGGCCGTAAGTATCAGTTTTTAAGACAGGCAAATCAATAGAGTCTATCACTTGTCCTTTGCGAAGAGAGTTAAACCAAATTCATGCTTTGTCAAAAGAAATCCCATTCCCTGAGGCAGGTAAATGGCAAAAGCAGACTCACAGGTGGTGATGTCACCTTGAAGCTGCAGAATCTCAGGAACTGGCATTGTGAGAACAATAAGATCAAACTGCTCAGGGGAGCCTGTTTGTTTGGATACTTCCCATTTGTCATCTCTTAGGTTGATCTGTGTCACACGATGTCTGAAGTAGACTTCTGCACCTGTTCCAAAAGCAAAATCATGTCCCCATTATCAGAATTGCATATATGAATAAAGGGGATGTGAGTAGTCACAAACTGAATCCATTCAAGTGAACAAAATGGCCAAGACTGTCTTCTACTGTCCTCCAGCTCTCTTCCTTTACTTTCTTTCTAATTTAGTGGGAATTCATCCCTACCTGGCATCCTTGGACTTCCCTATCAGTGCCTGCTCTGAATCAAAAACTACTCCTACAATTAGTGATAAAAATAAAAATAATAACTATAGCTACTTTTCATTAAGCAGCTACTATATGCCAGCTGCTTGGTACACATTATACTAATTTATCTCACAGACAAGGAAATAGATTGAGAAATAGCATGCCATGATTTAAAACTATAACCATCTGACTCTAAAGCTCATCATTTTTGCAGAACAAGTATACACTTCAGTAAACATGTGTGTTAGCAATGAAATAAGAAGAGCAATATTCTCTATTAAAGGAATTAATATTTCCCATTAAAGGACCTGAAAAAGGTTCTCTGTAAGGGAAATGCAAGTTCTCATCAATAGATCAATTGTCTTCATTAAGAAGAATCAGAATTTAGAAACATACTCTAGAGTACCCTCCCATAACATTTTCCTTCTTAGCACTTAACACAAGGATATTTTAATAATTATTTCTTTAATATTGTCTTCCCTTTTAATCTGTAAGGCCCATGAGCTACAAATTATACCTGTTTTATTTCTATGTATAGCATATAGTATACATAGCATAGAATTTATTAGTTAAGTATTTATTTAAAATAATGAATTATGAGGCCAGGCACGGTGGCTCACACCTGTAATCCCAGCACTTTGGGAGGCTGAAGTGGGTGGATCACTTGAGGTCAGGAGTTTGAGACCAGCCTGGCCAACATGGTGAAACCCCATCTCTACTAAAAATACAAAAACTAGCTGGGTATGGTAGTGCATGCCTGCAATCCCAGCTACTAAGCAGGCTAAGACACGAGAATCGCTTGAACTCGGGAGGCAGAGGTTGCAGTGAGCTGAAATCGCACCACTACCCTCCAGCCTAGGCAACATAACAAATAAAAAGAATGAATTATGAACCATAAACTGAAAGAAAGTACAATTGGGTCATTAAGTCTCCTTAGTAAACTAGTACTCACCTTCCAGTTTTCAAAAAATTTTGATTTACAAGCAAATCTACTTTTATTCAGCTTTGTGTATAGAAAAAGAAAGAAATGAAGATGGAATGAGGGAGGAAAAAAGCACACTGAAAGATCCTGTTCATCTTTACCTGGGAAATCTCACGTTCCTAGTCACTAAAAATCCAGCTAAAGTTCATCCCAAAGCTTCCTTTCTGTAGCCACTCCAGCTCAGTGTGATCCTTCCTCTCTATGATATTCTTCAACCATCACTGCCTTTAGTACTAATTTTGACATTGATTCAAAATATCTGCATGCTTTAGTTGTATCTTATCTATGTAATAATACTCAAGGCTCCTTCATGTCGGGTCTTCAGATCTCATACACTTTCATCTCTTTCATTGACCCTTAAATAATGCTACACCCTAGTAAGCACTCCAGTTTTTAAAAAATCAAATGTAAATGTTAGAAGAAACATAGTTCTAGCTAGCCCAAGAGATCAATCTCTGTTCAAGACAGTGTGCATCATTCTGTTCAAAGATTAGAGCAAGGGGCTTGTAAACAGTACTCCATCTTGCCTGAGGGCTTTTCTAAGGCCCCTGCTTGGGGAAGGTGCAAATAATTTGCACTTTCAACACATATCCACCATCTCCTTTATTCCAACAAGGGCAGCTCTGCTTCACTCTGTTTTTATTTATTTAGGATGCCTCACCCTACTTGCCTCACTTAGTCCATGGCCCTGTCCCAGACCTCAGCTAAGTTAACTGATTCTACGTTTTCTCATAATATTCCTTTGAAGAGAACAATATGCTGTTATTGTTGGTGGTATGAGTGTGTGTTTAAGGGGACTTAAGTTCACAGTCCTAGAAAATTCTTCATGCCCCAGATGAACGCCTTGAAAATGTATCCCAATGGCCACAAGGTGTTCTGCAAAGTATATATATATATATATATATATATATATATATATACACACACACACACACACACATATTATATATATATACTATATATATATGTGTGTGTATATATATATATATATATACACATATATATACACCAAGGTGTATATGTATATGTGTGTGTGTGTGTGTATATATATATATGTCAGTGGTTCTCTAAGTATGAACCCCAGACCAGCAGCACCTATGTACTAGAAAATGCACATTCCTGGGCCCCAACCCGACCATACTGAATAAGAAACTCTGGGAATTGAGCCTCGCAATCCATGTTTAACAAGCTCCCTTAGTCTTGTCATGATGCGCGCTAAAGTATGAGAACCACTGGGGTAGGTGGACACGCCCAAATCAAACACCACTGGCAAAACCACCCAAAAAGCAGCATTTATCAAGAGGTAGGAGAAATGGTATAGCCTCTCTTATTAACCAGAAAGGCTTCCTTTCCAACTGCTTGGAGCAAAGTTTTTGGGAAAGTGGCATTTCCTTGTGAAAGTAATTAATAACTTTCACAAAGACTATGTGTTTAAATCTATAAGCTCTGAAAAACCCAATTTTAAAATGGATAAATAAATAGTCTCAAGAGTTATGTCTGAGCTTAGTAAATTTGACCATGTCCCTCTCTTGCATAAAACCCTTCAATGGCTTCCCATCGCACTTAGAGTATAAAATCTTTAACATTGCTTACAAAGCCCTGTATAACCTGGCCCTGCCTTAGTCTTGAGCATCATCTTTTACCATTTTCTCCCTCACTCACTACCGTCCAGTCATAATGATCTTTTATTCCTTGAATGCACTAACCTCCTCCTACTGCTTCAAAACAGTTCCAATTTGATGTGTCCACTGCATTGAACTCTCATCATTCAGCTCTCAGCCTAATTCCCTCTTGCCCACCTTTCAGGTACCCATGAAAATATCAGTTCCTCAGGGATGCTTTCCCTAACACATCTCCCCCATCACTCCTCTAAAACCTACTGGGCTAGGTCCTTTTATTGTAAGTTCTCTCATAATGCTCTCACTCTTTCTTCTTAACATTTATCATGCATCTTTTCTTTGTATGTATAATTAGTTTAATGTCTTTTCTTCCCACTATACTCTACATTAACAGAGGCCAGGATCATGTCTCTTATTGACTTTTGTTTCCCCAGCACATAATATTTAATTAGAATAAAATGATCTTCAGATAGCTATAAAGATATCAGAAGTCTAAGAAGGTTTAAACATTTTACAAAGGCAAATGTGTTTCTGTTATATATTTATTCAATTTTATCCCTGGCCTTCCTCCATTTTAAGGAGAAAATCCAAGTTTATGTTTCTCCTATGATTTCCCACAAATAGGTTTTAGTGAGCAGCAGTCAGAACTGCTCAGGTGGGACCTGAAGTGATGTGAACCATCTCTAACTGACTACACAGCTTGAAGTAAATAGAAGAATGCTTAACCTGGTTTTCATGCCATCCTCTAGCTTCTCTAAAAAGGACATCGTTACGGATGAGTGCCAGGATCACCTGCTGGGAGAAATTTTGAGACAGAACCACCCAGACTCACTTCCCCTCTATCAATTTTAGAAAGAAAATAGGCACAAAAGTAAAAAGAGAGAGAATAATAAAAGTAAATATTACAATACAGAAGCCATCCTAGCTAATGGCATCTGCCACCTAAACCATTTTTTTCTAATAAATTGATCTTGTCAATTTTGACAGGTTACTTTGCAAATGTTGACTTTCTGGATCGCTAGCCAATGTCCTTTTTAGGTAGATGATAAAATAAAAACAAATAAATGCAGCAACAGCCCTCCCTATTGGTAGGACAAGCTAAATAAAAGCTGCTCACTCTGTGTCCTGGAAGCTAAATTCATCTTTTTTGAATAATTTAGTAACATGGGACCTTATTCAAAAGCAAAAGGACCTGGCCCATCATTTTCCATGTCATAGGCAGGAACCATCAGGTGACCAATTTCCCAGGTTGCATAAAGAACTAAGGTGGTATTACTCTTCAATATCCACTTCCCCCTATGTCAGGAATTAACTGATGAAAGAGGGAAACTAGGGGCACAGGGAACTATGAGGTTGTTCTATTGAACCATGTGTCTACTGACACGTAGCACCAGGTGGGATGGGTACAATCTTCATACTATAGGAAAATAATCAATAAGGAAAGAGAAGGCTCTACAAAATAGATGTTAAATTGGAGAGTATGAGCACCTCTCATTGCCCTCCATGAGAGACTTAATAGAAAAAAACAACATGATTAATTGCAAAGGCACTTCAGTTCTGTTACCAACTAGCCAAGCCACCTTAGACAAAGTACCTGAGTCTCATTCTTCGCATTAACAAATAGGGATGATGATTAACTCCCTTGAAAATTTACTGTGAGAATTAGAAACTACATACGTAAAGTACCTCAGGTAGTATTAGATAAATAGTCAGCACTTAATAACTGATAGCTAGAATCACTTTTGCTATTGTCAATTCTCACCCCAGCATAATGACAACTAGTATAAAAAAAGAACAAAAGAAAATCATGTTTCACTCACTCAAGAAGATTGTATTAATGGAGAAGGCAGGCAGTCAGTGAAATTGATGCCAATAAATACAGCTTTCTCTGCAATGAGGTTAATGTGAACACATCGGACAATAAATTAAAATAGAACATAAGGTCAAGAAGAAAGCATCTATTTCCTTTACCTTTTACTATTTGTTCTGGGAAATTGGTCTAGTTAAATATTGGCTTTAAAGGTTTGAACCTATTCTAAAGCATGCCTGATTAGGCATATCCCAGACAAATAATTGCCCTGGGAGTCTGGTCCCAATCTGAATGACCACTGGTTGGTCCATCAGATTGTGGGGTTTTAAACTCAACTAGATTCCAAAATATAGAGTATTTTTGAAAATAGTTGGCAATTTGATTTCTTAAAGTAAGGAATATATGAAGGTCAGCTTCATTCAAGTACAATATTTTTTAAACTAACATTTTTCAAGAGATTACTATGTGACTGGCTTACTACTTGCTTGAATTTGAGTGCATTATATCTTTCATTCCTCACAACACTTTGTAGCAAGAACTTCCATTACAATATTCTGTAGTAAGTACCCTCATTTTTGCATTTCATTACGCTCATTTTTTTCAATGAAAGAACTGAGGTACAGATTTTAAACTTTCCTAATATTACATGAACAGAAAGGGATGGTAGGACATTAACTGGAATCCAGGTCATTCTGATTTCAGGGACTGTCTTAGCTTATAGTGTGGAAAAACCAAAATGTTTTTGTGGACCATTTATAGAATAGAAAGGTTAAAGGGACTTAAAGAATGTTTAAAAGGGATATAATTATAAAATTAAAAATATTATAGATAGGGTCCAACAAATCCTATAGATAATAGATCGGGGTAGAGGAGAATCTCGAAGTATTACAAGAATAACATTAAATAGCATTAAAATAAACAAAGAAAAATTTATATAAACTCAAGTTAAATAGACCATGAACTTGATATAAAATAAATTTTTAACATTTATATCACTCTACCTACTATGTAGGAGGTACTATTAGTTTCTGAGTGAGGTACAAGGAATTAAAAATAATCTCTTCTCTGAAAAGCTTAAAAAGCAAAATTGGAAGTTAAAACGTATGTATTCCCCCAAACACATAACAAAATAAGGAGATAGATGCAATGTATTCAAAGATGTTTCTCTGCCAGGACATCAACTCCATGAAGGCAAGGACATTGGTTCTTGTATCATTAGTACCTAGAACAATGTTTGGCATTATGGTAAGTATTCAATGAATGTTTATTGAACAAAAGGATATGTGTATGTATGTATATATGCATGTGTAGGGGTGAAATTTCAGTAAAAATCAACTGACAAAAGGCATACTAATATGAGAAAAAGCATACAAATTTATTTAATCATAGTTTTGCATGACACTGAAACCTTCAGACTGAAGACCCAAAGATACAGGAGTCCATTTTTATGCTTAGATTCAACAAAGTATGGACAGCTCTGCAGCAATATGATTGGACAAAGGGTTATATCTATGGCTAACAAACTGGTAAAACCCACCAAGGCCTGTCTGTCTAGATTCTTCTTGTCCTCTCTGTGCAGCATTCTTTCTTTATGGTTATAGGTCATGACCCTCTCTGGAACTGTTGTGAGCTACAATCAAACACGGTAGGTCAGATAATTTCTTTATGGCCAGTTTTTACAAAGGAAGGCAGGGGAAAGCTAGAGTGATAGTTTTAGGTTTTATGGCTGGTTTGGGGGGAAAAGGGGTTCTTATTTCTACGACCTGCCTTGGGAAAAGAGATTCTATTTTCTAGGGCTAGCCTCAGGGATGAATGCAAGGCCAGAGATAGGAGGGCAGGAGAAGGTCAGAGAGAGCTACTTCTGAGGGCTCCATTTTGGGATATCATTTTCTAAGCTCCTGCACATGCATGCATGCACGCATATCAGTTAGTAAGTACCTGATGATTTCAATAGGTATACTCATCCAACCTGGGTCAGGGGAAAATCATGGTGGAAATGAGATTTTTTAAAGTGATATGGCCACACTATATGAAGCTGATAGTAACATTCTACAAAACGTCCAATAGTGTCACCATCTGTGATGGTCAATTTTATGTGTCAACTTGACTTGGCCATAGGATGCCTACATATTTGGTCAAACACTATTCTGGGTGTTTCTATGAGCACGTTTTTAGAAGAGATTAACATTTATTATCAGTAGATCAAGTAATGCAGATTGCCCTCCCTAATGTGGGTAGGCCTCATCCAATCAGTTGAAGGCCTACATAGGACAAACGCATTGATCCTCCTTCACATAAAGGAGAATTCTTCCTGCCTGAAAGCCTTTGAACTGGCTCATCAGCTTTTTTCCAGCCTTCAGAGTAGAACTGAAACATTGGCTCTTCCTGAGTCTTGAGCCTGCCAGCCTTTGGACTAGAAGTATACCACCAGCTTTCCTGGGTGTCTACCTTGCTGGATCACCCTGCAGATCTTGGGACTTACCAACCAACATAATCATGTGAGCCAATTCCTTATAATAAATCTCTCTCTTTATCCATACTCACATATACACATGCATGCACACATACATACACACACATACCCTATTGGTTCTGTTTCTCTGGAGTAGTCTAACATACCATCTATATACTGAATCTCGAATGGAGAAATGGTCTAAGCCAGAATGGTATTTATTATGTTCTCATGTTGTTTATTCAATCTTACTGACCTCTCTGATGCCCAGTGTCAAGGATTCTTGGGGTTCTCAATAAGTAATATTTGATGATAAAGATCAAAACAGTAATTATGCTGGAAATGGCTTATAAAAAAATTCTTAGCCTATATCCTTTCTCAGTTATCTCAACTTGGGTACTTAACTGAATTATGATTTATCAAGAAGCTTCATTCTCCTTTAAAAATAATCATCAATTATCCAAGAAAAATTCTATTTTCTTTTTTAAAAGGTCCATTTTCAAAACGCTCATAAAATATATAAGGAACAAATGAAAATCCTAATAGAAAATGGGCAAAGGTTATGAATAAGACATTCACAGAAGAAAACTGCAAAGAGCTGGCTAATAAAACAAAAACAATGCATAAACTCATTTGTAATTAAAGAAATGCAAATTAAAACCACGAAGAGATCCAATTTTTAACCTATTACACTGGCAAAAATTAAAAATTTCCATTATACCCAAATGTGGGGAAAGAAACATTCTCATCACTATTGGTGAGATGTTCTTTAAGATTAATACACAGCACAACCTAGCTAAGTTAAAAATGCAAATATCGTTTGACATAGCTATTCTTCTGTGAGGAATTGATCCTAAATAAAGATATGCTTCCAAAAGCATGTCAACAATAGACATGCATCAATGTTTGTATTAGCAAAAACCAAAACAATCTCCCAACCCCATACAGCCTAAATATTTACCAGAAAGCTAATAGTTAAATAAGTGATGGTACGCATATGTCATAAATACTAGACAATCATTAAAGAAAATGGATTACACTAAATTTGCTGATATGAAAATAGATCCAAGATATGAGTCAAACAAGGTATAGAATCATTTATGCAAAATTATTCCCTTTTATATTTTTAAAAGAATAAATATAAAGAAATATATATGTATGTGTGTGTGTGTGTATATATATATATATATATATACATCTATAATATCTATATTATAGATAAATAGAGACAGCCATGTAGCTCAATAGAGAGATGCATAAACATTGTTCCGGAAATATACACTGGAAGCTTATCAATGATTACTTTGGGGAAGGACTAGCTATTGATCAGCAAATAGAGCACCTAATATTTATAATTTCCTGTATAGTATTAATATGTAACTATGTGTGTAACTTGTTTTTAAATGCTAATTTTAAAATTTAGGCAGAGAAAATCTTACTCCCACCTGATTCTTTCAAGTAATGCTTAATAATTGAAGAAATTCCTTGAGGTGCCACAAAGTTACAGTCTCCTTCTTTCATCACCATTCCTTCAATAGGCGAGCTTAGAGGCCTCAAAACGCCATAGGCTAACAGTTCATCATAAAAACTGAAATAAATCAATATGTATATTTAATGTAATTATATACCATGAATAGCTCTAAAAGACTATATTTTCTTTCAATAATTCTCAGAGGTTATAATTCAAAATCAAAATTAGATATCTTCCTATGAATATTTTGTATTAAATAAAATGTATAATTTGTGTTAAATAAAACTTATAATACAGGTGAAGAAGAGAAATATTTTGAGAATCCATAGGTCGTTTGCTGACTTTAGTCAAAGGCCTATTTCTCTGTAAGCATATTTTAAAAGTAAAGTTAATGAAAACAAACAAATGTATTTAGTATATCAATTTTAAATTTGGTTCAGAAGATTGACTCCCATCACAGCTAGTTGCCTTCTTCCATAACACCAACATAGCAATTGATATTTATCGAGCCCTTACTATGTTCCATTTATCAGCTAATCTAATCTTCACAACAACCCTATGACATCACACAACTGCTAAGATTGATTCCACTCCTTGCAACTAACTCACCGTTGGTGTTTTTTGGCATAATGAGGAGTGCAGGTGATGTACTGAGCACCCAAGTCAGCTGTGCACTGAGGATTATGAGGACTGCAGGCTGTAGTCATTCTTCCCCCTTGAATTAATCCACAGGAAAATGTCTTACTGCATGACAATGAGCCTTAGCAATTAATTCAATGCACCTTAGGTTACCCCAAACAGATTACTTCAAAAATATCTTAAGAAACTTTTTTAAGTTGAAGTATTTGATCAGATTGTGAGATTTTAGAAGGAGTCATGAACAATGTAACAGTGTCCAGCACCATTATAGTGCATATATTTAGTAATAGGAGTCAGTGAATGGATAAAACTAAAAATGATGAAAGAAATGTCAGAATAAATGAGTCAACTAATGCTCTTTCATTCATACAGTCAATCTTCATGAGAATGACAGGATTCTGCAAACTAGATCTTCAGAAAATCTTGGTCTATGATCACTTTGGGAGTCTCATAATCTGCAGAAAGCTGCAAAGCCAACAGACAGACCAAGACAAAAAATCTATTTATTAGGGACAGCAGTAGGCCCAAGCTTTGCAAACTCGGGTCGGGGCCCCTCCCACGCCGCTGTCTCAGGTCTCCCTCTGTAGAGCGCGGGGTACTCCTGCCGGGCCCCCACCCTCGCCCCCACCCTCGCCCCTTCTTGGGCCTTTTCCCGGGCGGCGGAAGTCCCCGATCACGTGACGAGGCGCGCCACTCGGCGCATGGGCCGCGCTACACGGCCGCTCAGGGAGCTGAGGGTATAGCGTTTTCGCCTTAGACTTTCTTGGGTGCAGGCCCACACCACCTCAGCAGCCTGCCCGGCAGTCCTCTTTTCCCAGGTTTTGGCGTTTAGACAACCCACCTGAGTCCTCAGCCTTGTCCCACACAGCAAGGTACAAGGGACCGGACGTCTGCCTCCTCAGCAGCGCAGCGCACAAGCTTCCTGTCATCCCGGCGCCCACGATCAGCACCTGCGCCATGGCGAGAGGGAGCAGCGATCCGCGCTGAGTCTCTGCGGCGGGGCCGTTCGGCCCGGGCTTTCTGGAAAGGCGGCCGAACCGGCGCTAGCGCTCTTTGGTTCCGTGCTCCCTGGGCCGACCTGGGCCCTGAGCTTTCCTCCGGCCGGCCTGCAGGGGGCGGAAAGGAGGCGGCCGGAGCTGAGAGGCCCCTCCGTCCTTGAGGAGCAAACCTGGGGCTGCGGAGAACCGGGGCTGTCTGTCTTCTCGCTTTGGGGGCCGGGCGCCCTGCCCCTCGCCCAGAAAAGCCTGGAAATGGTGTGGGCTATTGTTGGGAGAACCCGCCTCGCAACAGAGCTGACGTTGACCACAGCAGAGAAGCAGCTTAACCTATCTACTGCGATAACTCTCATGCCTGTTGGGATTTTTGCTGTTTTACTATTCTAGATTTGAAAGTGGGAAGAAGAATTTACCAGCGATACCACGGGCAACCTTTCCTCTAATGCTTGAACGGCCACTATTAGCATAATAGAAACATCTTTTGGAATCTGGGAGACATTTTTCTTAGACCTGGGACTTTGTGTAACCTTCCTGAACCTCAATTTCTCCATCTGGGAAATGGAAACAATAACGTATACCTTTCAAACTTGTAAAGATTAAAGACAGTTGATTCATCAGAAAATTCCAAATTACTCTTCAATAAGTTCTATGTCAGAACGCATTCCGTATGTTCTAAGGAATATAAAGATGAACAACAAGAGAAGGATTGGTGCCATTGCCGTTGTTTTTTTCCCCCTCCTGACATTGTACTGGAAGTTCTCAATGAAACAACAAAGGCAATGGTAATACTGAACTATTAAAAAACAAATAATTAAGTTACGCTGACTTGCAGATAAATTATTACCTGGAAAACTAAGAAACCGAATAAGTATCAGAACCAATAAGAAAATTGACAATGGTAGCCAATTATAATGGAAACATTTAAAAATCAGAATATTTACTTCATGTCCACATCATGAAAAAAATTACCATGTATCAAATGGGTGACGAATTAATACTAGATATATCTAATAAAAGAACTAGAAGAAAATGTAGACGGGCATATATGACTAAGAAGACATTTTTAAGCATAAAAATGAAAGATGGAATTGAACAGAAAATACATAATCATTTACAACTTGTGTGTTACAAAATACACAAAACAAAATACAAATAGTAAATTTCTGAAAGGTGTATGAAAGATTAAAGTTAATATTATTTAAAAACATTATTCAAAGTCTTAAAGACACAAATGACAAAAGCCAAAAGGAAAATGTGTATATATTGGATAGAGTTCTTGAATAAAAAGAAATACGTAAGTCCAATAAGCATGTGTTTAATTTTTTATATTCAAATACAAATTAAAATGAGGTACTATTTTTCATTTGTTGAGTTTTTTGTTTTTTCTTTCTTGAGACAGGGTCTTGTGTCACTCAGGCAAGAGTGCAGTGGCACGATCAGGGCTCACTGCAGCCTTGACCTCTTAGGCTCAAGCTATTCTCCTGCCTCAGCCACCTGAGTAGCTGGGACTACAGGTGCCCACCGCCACGTGTGGCTCATTTTGTGGGTGTGTATACTTTATGTAGAGATAAGGTTTTGCCATGTTCCCCGGGTTAGGAATTACTTTTGTAAATGTAAAAATGTCTTTTTTTCAGGGATACAGCAAAATACACAATGGTATATTACTGATGGAAGTGTACTAGACAAATTTGTCATAATACAGTCTGATACTATGTCAAAAGCCTTAAAAATATGCCATTTAAAGCAGACATTTATCTTGGGGAAATAGTGTACAATTATACATTGAAGTTTATGATTTTTCTGAAATTAAAAGTTCAGATTTCTCTGAAATTAAAAGCTTAATGTGATTCACAGCCATAGCCCTAAAATCTCAAAATCGTCAATCTGGAAAGTACATTTGCAGTAATCTATTTCAACTGTCCTCTGCCACCATTTTATACACGTTAATACAGACACTAAGTTCAAGTGAGTTTGCCCAAGGTTACCTATCATCTCAACGGTGAAGCAAGGGCAGGCCTTCATGGTCTTCTGAGTCTGCTCTCCTGCTCTTTTCCATCCTTTCCAGCTTCCTCATTTCTATTAATAATTTGATCATCATGGACAATGAGACTTGAAACTTCATAATTATCTTCTATAGCTTCTTTTTTCTCATCCTTGATACCTATCAGCCCTCAGGTCTTTTTGACCGTTTCTCCATTGTCTCTTGAATCATCCAGTCACATCAGATTGTACAACAGAAAAGTTGCTCAAATTCCATTTCCACCAGCAATGGTAGAAAACAGTGAACAGAATATGGTAAGGTCGGAACTTTCTCTTCACTGCACTCTGCCCACTGTGAACGTTTAACATTTCAAAGAGTAATTGCCAAAAAACGAATTCACTACTTGAGTTCAAGCCATTAGGTTTTTTTTTTTAAGCCAGTCAAATTTAGCAGTGGAGGGTTGTGTATCAACTTTAGTGACACTAATGTTAATAAATTCTGATAACCCACTATCATCACACCAGTTCAGGCCATCAGTTCTTACTGGGATTATTACCGTAGCTTTCTAACTAGTCTTCCTACTTCCCAGTTCTGCACCCAGCTTCTAGATGTCATTACTATCCTCAAAAACTTTCTGTAGCTCTCAGTTTCATACAGAATTAAGTTCCATTCATTCATTTGGCATAAAAATGTTCAATAATATATTATCATCCTACAGTTATCACTTACATTTGTGTCTTCATTTGTTCTGTGCTTTCGCTAAACTGAATATCTTTCTTTTCCTTGAACACATCCTCAGATTTTCCACTTATCTATGGCAGAAGAAAACCTTTACTTACGCTGTTCTCTGTGTATACAGCATCGTTTTTGCTTGCATCTCCTGCAGTTGTGAATCCGCATTTATCTTTGTCTTTTTTCTTTCTCCCTATGATCATACGCTCTTTCAAAAACAGTTATCCAGAATTTTGGATTGCTATGGTCATCGAATGGAAATAGCCATAGTGGTTTGCAATTTCTCATTACGCCCCAACCTCCATGGGTTACATCTGATTTCACAGTTAATAGCATAATGGGTCCTTGGTTGACTACTTGGCAGTAGTGCAGCTTTCTGGAAAGGTAAGAATGACTAGATGACCTAGAATGACTAGATCACCTAGGATTGCAAGATAGGTGAGACAGCCCCCATGTCTAATATTTATTTTTTCCTAATCACCTTGACCTTTTCCCTTGACTTTTTTCCTATTCTTGATCTTTTCAAGGCTGACTCCTTGAATGACTTCATTCAAATCAGCTTAAAAGCCACCTAAAAGAGGTCTTCTCTAACCACTTGACCTAAAATAGCCACCCAGTGACTCCCTAGTCCATTAAATGATGGAAAAATGAATGCTTTATTTTCTTCATCTCAATCCCTTTTAGAAGTAATCTCACTTTTTTACCTGTTTACTTATTTATTATTTATTGTTTATCCTACTAGAATTTAAGCACCAAGAGGGTAGAAATTTTGTCATGTTCAACGCAGTTTCCCTGGCAACTAGAATCAAAGTTAGAATTCTCAGAGACTATGAGGGTTCACTATCTGTTTGCTGGAAGATATACAAGACTTTTGAGGATAATACTTAAATGAAGATAGACCGGATGGTAATTCAGTTGGATAATGATCAGTGACGTTGAACTTCTTTTCATGTGTTCATTGGCCGTGTAAATGTCTTCTTTTGAGACCTAACAATACTTTTAAGACTGTTGCTTCTATATTTGAACTCCTTTAAGTCATTATAGACTGCATAGTCACTACTTGTTGCTGTTATTACAATAACTGCCAGACAGAAAAATAAATCTACTTCAGACTTTTAAGGAAGTTTCATATCTTAATACTTTTAATTGCTTTTTAATGGACACTAGCGGGAAACTATCACTAACAACCTCTGTAGTGGTTTTCTCATTTTCGTCAAGATGTGAATGTATTTGGATTAACGTATGGGAAAGGGGCTTGAAAAAAATAGGAAGCTGAATTTAATATTGCCTTGAGCTAAATGTTCTCTTTTTATTTTTTCTTTTTAGTATAATATGCTTTTTCTTAGCTTTCCTATGACTCTACTTAGCAACTTTTGCTAAAAGAAACACAATATATGACTGACTACTTTGAAGACACATATATTGGACACTTAAAATCAACAAAAGCAGAGAGGTATGATATAATACTTTTCATTGTTGTGTGTTGTACCTAGAGTCAAACTAATCATTTTAATGGCAGAAGCTAAAGAAACATAATTCTCAAGTCATCTTTTAGGAAATTATATTGTAGTTGTGGATTAATGTTATTAATATTACAGATATTTGATATCTTCATATTTTGTTTAAGTACTTTTGCTAAATGGGTGATAGCTTTTAAAAATCATTATTTAAAATTCTGGCAACCTCCAGTTTTAGTGCTGTGGTACAAAACTACACTTTTTACTCACTTTCATCTTTGGCTGCCTTATGAAAGTTTGCCTCTTAGCAGAGCAAACACCAGTGATTTGCTCCATGGAATAGTATCTCACCAGGCAACCAGCATGGATGGAAAATTATGGCAAGTAACTCAAATTGAAGTAATAATGATTACCTGCTCCATTAGGTACAAGGTTTACAGGCCAAGGTAATATTTTAATCTAGTAGTAGTGATTACTTCTATGATATCTTGCATGAACTTAATAAATAGCAAACGATTTTATCCAAATTATTATTTCAACATGTATTAGAAAAATTATTGATGAGATATTTTACATTATCTTTTTTTGTAAACCTTCAAAATCCAGAGTTTATTTTACATGTATAAAAGATCTTAATTCTGGAGCTAAATTTGTATTAGACACACTTGAGGTGTTTTTAGAGTTCATAAAATTTACACCTACAAGAGTAGTTTCACATACCTAAATTGTTTGAAACATATTTAAAAGTTTCAGTAACTGAATTGACTATAAATAAACAATTTTCTCTTATATTTGCATCTACTATGACAAAATTATTTATCTTTTTTAGAAAAATTGATTAGACTTTGAAGTAAAAACATATCAACTTAAAAACTCTATCTCTCCAAGTTAAGTATATTTAAATAGCTCATGTCAACTTAAAATTATTAATATCAAATTCAAGTTTGAGTTGCAAAGCAACTCTAAATTTATTAATATCAACTATTTTTCTTGTAGTTTTGTAGCCAATTTATATAAATGCTGTTGTTTAGAATTAAAATCTGCATATTGATTCATGTTAGAAAAATGTGTAAATCATTATTATTGAATTGCATTATGGAAAGTTTTCATTTCAACATAAAGTCTAGTAGCAGTTTATTAAGGTAATAAATGAGCTTTTCCATTCAGCATGATATGGATGAAAAAACACGTCATCCTGCCATTTTCTTGTTTTCAGTTATGGGATATTTGACAAGTATTGCTTTTGTTTCAAGACAGTCTTGAATTTGGATTAACAATACAGAAAATCTTATAAAAATTTAAAGTTGTGTTTAACAGAAAAATATTTTACACTGCTTTAGCTTTCATATTAAAATTAATTTAACTAAAATAAAATATTCAGTTTCTCACTGGCCACATTTCAAGTGCTCAATGGCCACATTCTAGACTTTAGTGAACTTTTTCACTAGTTGCTTTGTATGGTTGATGAGTCACTGCAAATAATAAGGTTAATTTCATTCAGTTTAAACATTTCCCATTGGTGGTTATTAGGAGTACCACAACTATATATCAAAGGCTTATCCCTCTGTGTTTTCTTTGTATAAAAATATTAAAATTTGGGTAAATATTTGAGGCTATAAATTGGGCAGTCAAAACCTACATGCCTGGAACAGTCCAGATTATGCCTATTTTCCCAAGAAAATTATTAATAGAATTTTATTTTAAAAGGTATCTTGTTTCAGATGATAGTCTATACATTCCTTCTAGATATAATGCAAAGCATCTTAAAACCTCAGCTAGGAAGCAAGCAGTGTGTAGTAAGCTACAATATCAGTTAATACATTGTACAGACAGAGAAAATATTTCTTCCCAAGCTATTTCCATGTACTTATCTGAGACAGCCCATGAGGAGAGAGAACTGAGTAGACTTGCTGCCTGCTGAGCACTTTTCCAAGAATACAACCAAAGAGGAATATCTAAATGTGATTCCAAATGTTATAAAGTTTTTCCATGTGCAGTTAAATTAGCAGCTCTTGCTCTTCTCTTTGGTAGAAGATATTGATAATGCTGTTTTAAACTTTGCTGTTGCCTTCAATGAAAACCACAGATATTATACCAAATATAAATACCTGGACCAAAGGAAAGAAGTGCAGCTTCTGTAAATTAAAGTTTTCAGTTAGAAAGTGTTTTTTTAAAAATGAATGCACTTTAAAACTTTCAGATTTACATAATTTTTTTCAAGCGGTCAGTGCACAGGAAACTGGACTAATAAATATGTAAGAAAGACATATCAAGTATGTGCATGTAAATTATCTCCCTAAATTGCTTGTAATTTGTTCTCTTGCATAAGGAGGATTGTTACATATTAATGTCAGCTCTATGACAGATATTACACTAATACATCATATTACATTGATCAGATTTAAGTTTTATAACAATCCTGAGAAGTAGGTATTAGTTGCATTTTGTAGGCAGGGAAACTGATGATCACAGAGGTTAAGTAATCTGCTTTAAGTCACCTAGCTAATGAGTGGTGGAGCTAGGGGTTTTATAATCCTTGAATCATGTCCTTCTGAGTATAGTGGTTGGCTTATTATACAAGGCTCATAAGATTAGTAAGTCATGCTTTTGGGGGGAGAATCTGGATGGCAGCCTCTGTGGGTACCTGGTTTATTGTTTTAAGAAAAAACTTAAGAGTTCTGCCTTCCTAGAATTTAGGAGACTCAAAAATCACCTATCTGTAAAAAAAGTAAAATGAGTTGCTGAATGAAAGTTATCCAAGCTTCCAAATCTCCCCGTTCTTTCCCCTCCCCGCTAAAAAAACAATTAAATATATGTTAAATAAATGTTAGGCTGGTAATAATACTATTACAGCATTAATTCACACATCAATTAATTTGTAATACATGATAAAGCTCTCAGAATTGGACTGTGCAATACTACAATGGAGACTTCTAAGAGGGAATTTATCTACAAAATAGGGTAGCCAGAAAAGCATGGACTTTGAAATTAAGCAGTCCTGAATCTGAATTCTGACTGCCAGTTATACATTTTATGGTTTTAGCCAAGTTATTTAATTCTTCAAAGCCTCTGTTTTCTTACCTGAAAACAGTAATATTTCCTACCTCATAGAATTATTGGCTGCAGTTTTATAAATGGTATTATTTGCTGCAATTTTAACTGTATAAACATCTCCCTTTTATATATAGGTCCCAAACGTGGTATCTTTTCACAATGATGTATTTTATCCGAATTCTTGGAATTACTCATGGTGTCTTTCAAAATTAAAGATCTGTGAAACCTGAAGCAGATATGAATATTGTAAGTTGTTAGAAAATAAATCTGGACTGCTGAAATAACAGAGAATGCTACTTTTCAAATTTGGAATTTTAACTTAATAGATTTACAGTCAAACGTATACATCTATATGTTAATATTTCTCATCTGCTATTCTATAGCTTAGTTTCTCCTTCAGCCTTATTCTATCTTTGTAATGAAAAATGTGTAACTATATTCATACTTTCACATATTTGAAATATATATTCATATATATGAAGGTATGAATATATATCTCCTTCTCTTCTACATATTTATAAATATACAAATTTCAGATATAAGATTAGATATACACATAGACATGCAAACATTTATGGATGCATGTATATTTTTAAATTGTATACGAGTGGGTAGGTAAAAGTATGAGAGACTAGTAGTTAAAAAAGAAAATATTCTTGAGATATCTCTTTGAGGGTAGGGGTTTGTTTGTTTGTTTATTTATTTTATTCTTTCAATCCCTAGTATATAAAACTGCTGCTCAGTAGGTATTTTACAAATATTTATTATCTGTATGAATCAGTAAATTAGTGAAAATAAAAATAGATAGGCTTGAGGTTGAGAGAGAATACCAAGGTTCATTGTCACATAATGCGTTAGAAATGGCAAACCATTCAACTTAATTGGATAACAATTTTATGCTAAAAGATTTGCTTTTTCTTTATCTAGAGCCAGATTATTTCCTACTGGGGCTACCCTGATGAAGAATATGATATTGTAACCGAAGATGGTTATATCCTTGGCCTTTATAGAATTCCTTATTGGAGGACAGACAATAATAAAAATCTAGGTAATATTCAATTGAAGATGGATTGGTGACAATCTGGGGCCTGAAGTTCTTAATTGCTCCAATTGACGGAGAACATAGGACAAGAAAAGCATCTTAAGATTAAGTGAATAGTTAACTTCCCATGTATCTTCTCGCATGCTACAAGAAGAGTCACACAAGAAGATACACCGGCCTTCTGGTCACAGAGAGGTTGTGATGGAACACAAGCTGTTCTTCCCAGGTTTCCTTTGTGGATCACTTTGCTCTTACATGTTGATTCTCTAGAATTTTCTTTTTCTGATGAGAAATTAGAAATGCTCTGAAACACAATAACATTATTATGCTCTAGGTTTTGAAGAAAGGCTGGTACAAATTTCCTTTTTTGTCTTTCTGATTCTCTCCTCTAGAAATAGCAGAGAGATGAGGTTAGTAGCAGCCTCAGGGCTCTTTATTCCAACAGTAAGTATCATCAGAGTGTGGTGCAAAATGCACTGGAATTTGTTAGGAGATCTGGGTTGTAATCCTAGATCTGCCACTTACTAGTAGAATATGTAATGGATTACTTTTTCTTATTCATATAATTACCCAAATAAAAGCCAAGTATTTTCTCCTTAGCTTTTCTTCCTGAAAGAATGTTTCTTTCAGAAGGAAACAGGATGTGAAACAAATAGAATGTTTCTTATATTATAGGGCATCCTCTCAAGTTATTTTGAACATTAAAGTACACTTCAGAGAGGATATTAATTTGAAACAACCTCAATTAACATAATTTTGCATATTTATAAAGGTTATACCCAGTAGCAGAAAATCTTAACATAGATTTTATATAATAATAGTAATTATCCCCCAAGCTATGACCTCATTTTACAAGTACTGTATTAAAGATTTAAAGATAATTTTAAAACACAGCAAGTGCCTTAGAGTGCTCTAAAGGCAGAGCCTGAGAGAGGGGTTCAGGTACATGTGACTGATTGATGAAATACTGTCAGGAGGCAGTAACGTGGAAATTAGGATAAAGTAGGGTAAAGAGTTAAGGAATAATATAATATGACTCAGCTTGGGGCTAGCTAAAAGATGATCTCAGAGGAGTTCAAGGTTCCCATAAAAATTACACTACAGAGGTGGTCCCACCCTGAGATTAGAGAGCCAGCTTTTTGCATTCCTAAATCAGTTAATCATTGCCTGAAGGCTACCCCTAGAAGGAGGTGTGATCTCTTAGGTGAGGCAGTTCCAATTTGGCCATGGGCAATTCTACAGAGAAAGGAGCAATAGTAAACCCTTAAAAAGCAACACTAGGGCCATAACTAGTATTCATAAATGTCCTCCTCCACTATCCATTCTAGATTTCTTTACCTCTCAGCTAGCCTGCCTGATGAGCAATAGTAAACCCTTAAAAAGCAACCTAAGGCCATAACTAGTACTCATAAATGTCCTCCTCCACCATCTATTCTAGCTTTCTCTACCTCTCAGCTAGCCTGCCTGATAGGGTAAGCCAGACCTTCATCCCTAGGGGCTAACATATTCATATCAGGTGATGGTTGCACTTGTTCATGTACAGTTAAAACAGGGCATAGAAGTAGGAAAAGATGACTCAGTGGATCTCCTGAAGAGCAAATGTATTTCTCCCTTTCCTCGTTTTGTAGCAGCAGACCTACTTCCTTATGATGATCAGGGTCAATGAACTTCCTGGTCTTCAGTAATGAAGAGCCCAAAGTGACCAGGCGGTGGTCATAGCCTTGTTTGTTAGGATGCTTACAGTGCCTTGGTGGAAGCATTTTCTCTCTGGAGACCAGGGCCTCTAGATATGTAGAGGCTAAAATTGTGAGAACAGATCCCTAAATGGGTTACTAGGAGTCATGGCAAGCTCTTGTTCCTCAGACTCCTGTATTCTACTTATTGGGGAATCACTAATATATTCTCACCATTTTTAAAAGATGTACAATAAATCCTGAAGGATAGTGCCCATACTTACAGGATGTCATCTCCCAGCTGGCTTTTTCCCAGCTGGCTTTTACTGAGCATTCAAGGGCTTGTTTCATTTTTCTATCAGGTTGGCAGCCTCTTGTTGGGAGTTATATGGTAGGACCAGTGGATACCATGGCCATGTGCCAATGGATGTGTCAACTTTGCTATGTAATTGATCCCTGATTTAAAATGTGTTACTTAAAATGTGTATGAGTGCTTGAATTACTATAAAATTTTTTATTATTTTCTCTCAGTAAAATGTACATATTTAAGTGTGATGTGACCTAATTGCTCACTTGGTTATTTGAAAGACATCCATTAGTGAACTGTATTAAACAGCTCTGTCATACAACGGGATTAAATCTTAATAACTTACCCCACTTATGAAAACAATTTTTTAAAATCTTTAAACTGTCATGTACTAAAAGTTTGAATTTCAGATAAAAGATTTTCATATAGATAACTACAAAATTTATAAAGAACTTTCTACATTTTTTTCTCAGCTCAGAGGGTTGTTGTATACTTGCAACATGGTTTGCTTACATCTGCCAGCAGCTGGATTTCCAATCTTCCCAACAATAGTCTGGGCTTCATTCTGGCAGATGCTGGTTATGATGTGTGGATGGGAAATAGCAGAGGAAATACCTGGTCCAGGAAACACTTGTACCTAGAAACGAGTTCCAAAGAATTCTGGGCTTTCAGGTACAAATAAAATGAAGTAACATTTCATTTTATAAGTGTATACAAATTTTTCATTTTGAATGCAATAAAATAAAATTTAGGTCTTACTATTTTCACAATTTAGGACTTTCCATAGACTATTACAATTTATGTGAATTTTTGCTTGAAAATTAAAGAGTACTTGTGTGATTTTGAGTTTGATTCTTACGTTTCAGCAATAATCTTTATTTCTTACTTAGTACCTTACTGACCAACCCCATCCTTCCTTTAACTACTCTTCTACTCTATAACTCATATATTTTGTCTACCCTACTCTATTTTTCATATACAAACACCCTCTTTATAAGACTGCCTTGTGATTTTATTTCCTTGAGTTTGAGTTCCCACAGAAGTCTCTATTCAGAAGATATATTATACCGTATAACTTCCTTATTAATAACTAGAGTAGAAAATTGCCTTTATTCAGTTATCTCTTCATTATTTTCAAATACTAACATAACATTAGTAGAAAGTGCTATTTTTATTTTCCTCTTTCTTTTGTAGTTTTGATGAGATGGCAAAATATGACCTTCCAGCCTCTATTGATTTCACTGTGAAGCAAACCAGACAAGAGGAAATATTTTATGTAGGCCATTCACAGGGTACTACTATTGGTATGCCAAGAAAGATTATTGCTAATATCCCTTAATTTCTTTTTTAAGGTTGTGCATATACTTCTTAAAGTTGTAGATAAGCTTCTAGACCTGTAAGTAAAACAAAAACTGTGAGACAAACATAGTACAGCAGAATGCCCTGGAATCTTACATGCTGCTTTGATCCCCCATGGAGTCTTCTCTAGTCACAAAGAATTGATTGTAAAGACAAGGTTGGTTGTGGTTTTGTTTGTTTCAAATTGTATAAAAGTTGGATATCTATGTTATTTAAGATCAAAGTGAGATTGCCACTATTATTTGTTCTACAAATAGAACTTTCACATTATTTTTCCTTTTAAAAATGTAGCATAGGATATTATGAGTGGAAAAGATGAAAAAGCTATGTATGTTTTTGCATTTCGGACTGATCAAACTTAAGAAATGAACAAAAATCAGGAAATTCTTTCTATATTTAAAGATGACTAGAAAAGAACTTTAATCAGAACTCTAATGCCTATCTAATACATAACAACTTTACTTTCGGAAATAAATGACCTATGACCTAACATAATTCTCTTGCATGGTACTGTAAACCTCTTTACCCACTTTGCAGGGAGAAAAAGCCATCTTATAATGAAGCTAATATTAAGTAAGTCATTTCTAAGCTGAAGACTATAATTTTCTTATAGAAATAATCCACTTCCTATTAGAAAAAGCATGTTGAGTAACAATCTAATCCCATTTTGTATAGATCTTTTCTCTGACATGTATTAGCCATATATGTGACTTTTAGTCCAAATTCTCATCAACTATTCAATTATTTAAAACCAGGAATGCCTGAAAATGTAGAAATAAGAAAAAAAAGTGAGTAATGAGTGTCAGAGCTTGTGGACTTACTATATGATATATAATTCTTTGGCTGTTTGGCTTCTCAGAACCTGACCTAAATAAATAAATAATAAATAAATAATCAATCAGAATATTGATGTGTAAGTAGATAGCTTGATAAGATGGCAAAGGGAAAAATGACTATTTTTCACATTAATGCCTCTAAATTGCCAATAAAATAAGATGCTTAGTATCCTCTGTATAAGAAGATAAGGAGTTTTAAAATATATTGAAGATAAATATTAAAATGATGGGACATTTATTAAGCCTGTCACCTAAATTATAAGATTCATCTGTCTGAAAATTTCACATATTTCATTTTCACCACTGCAAGTTATAAAAAATGTTCAATCTTGCTCCTAATTTTTAAACTATGGCATTACATGTCTGATTTATTGCTAAATTATCATTCTTTATGGTCTATACATTTTAGAAACCCAAATTATCAGCATTATATTATGATCAATATAATGTTGTATACTAGGTGATTTAAAAATGTTTGATAAATGAATTAAGAAATAAGTTAATTGTTCAGAAACTATTTTTGAACTTACTCTTATTCTCCTTGGTGTCATCTCTTACATGCTAGTAATTGCTTAAGAATAGCTTACTAATTTATATCTTATTTTATTTTAGGTTTCATAACATTTTCTACTATATCAAAGATAGCTGAAAGAATCAAAATATTTTTTGCTTTAGCACCAGTTTTTTCCACAAAGTACTTAAAAAGTCCTTTAATTAGAATGACATACAAATGGAAGTCAATAGTCATGGTATGTTCTACCTTTATTTTATGTCATTGATAACCCAAAGTGATAATTTTATGCTTTCAAATAAGAGATCTTGACTATACGTAGACAACCACAAGTATGGATTGAAATTTTTGGTTTCATTTACACTACATTCTTGTTTTTGTTTCTGCAAAGGAATACAATTTTACTTATTATAACTTTAGAACCCTACTGTGAGAAGAAATTCAGTGGCCAAACCATCTCCACACCCTGCTTCCAAGTTTTTTCCTTTATTTAAAATTTTCAAACTACTGTGAGATAATTTATTTGGTTTTATAGATAGTGAATTACCACAACATTTCTTTAGCACTTATTGTGGTCATCCAAATGTGGATAAAATAAATTTATTTTACAGGCTTTTTCAGGCAACAAAGACTTCTTGCCTAAAACCTCATTTAAAAAATTCATTGGTTCAAAGCTGTGTCCACTACAGATTTTTGATAAGATTTGCCTCAATATCTTGTTTATGATGTTTGGATATGACCCAAAAAACTTAAATATGGTAAGAACAAGTTGTATTTGAAATATATATATTTTCCAATATTTGGAAAGTATAATAATAATAGTGCTTGTGTTATACCTTGTGTCATTTTGTGTTTCATCCACATACACTAGTAGTCAGATTCTTAGCCTATCTGATTTTATGACTACACCAACATTGTACAACTAACTTGCATGAACATGCTGGGATTATTTTACTTCCATATTTGTCTTGCTGTCTGTAAATATTCGAGAGCAGCTGATGTGATGGGTATCTTTATTGACCTTTGCTATTGGGTATTAGTTTCCTGAGACTTCTAAGATTTAGGTCCTCTTCTATTCATTTGTTTCCTGTAACTCCATAACTGCTCCTCCTGGTTCCTAATACTCCTTCCTATCCTTGTTGATCCTTCCATAATTAGAATTAGTGCCTTCCAATTATCTTTAAGTTTCTAGCTTTTATCAATACTCTTGGAGTGGGAAACTATTGTGGTACTCAAGGTACTATTACCAAAACCTTTGGATTGATTGTGTATAGGTTCTCTTAAGAATATAGGCATTCATTCTAAGTGTTTTTCATCACATTAAATTAAACATCCAGATTTGGCAGAAGCAAATGTGCCATTTGGACTAGAGGTTGGTTCTTGTACCTGGACCTTTTAAGAGCTTCTCAAAGAGAGCCAATATAGACATTCAAAGAAAGATAGGTATTCTCTTAATTCCCAAACACATTTTTATGCCACAAGGACATGTTTGTTGACTTTGTTGATTTTGTTCAACCTTACTTTATTTTTAGAATGCTATAAGAAACTCAGTTCTCGTCTTTTCCACCCATAAAGATATGAGAAGGCAGAAAGGATTACTTTCATATTCCCTCTTTTTCATATTTTTCTGTTCATCTAGTGCTAAGCACCTACTATGAGGGGCCTGGAAGAATCATAAATACAATGTTTATTTTTACTTATCCACTCATTCTATGTTTTAGGTAGTATATTTGGCCAATTCTATATTTTTTTGTAATTATAATGTGATGTCTCTGAGAACTCTTTTTTGTGTATAAATTATTAGAAAAGCTTACACTCTGGTTTTCTAGCCTCCAAAACTGTGGCATTTCTTCTGCAACAGAAGTTGACAGTGTTGTAGATTGTAATATGACTGTGTCTTAATTTAGCTGAAATTGTAGGAAGTTGGAAGTAGAAAATTTTCACGCACAGTGTGTTTGGAAATAGTTAATTGTGAAACTGTGGTTCAGCTTGAATCAGTCTCTTGAGCCTAGCAAGATCTGTGGAGGAAGTAGGGTCTGGCTTAAAATTATTTGCTTAGAGCCAGTATGAAAAACCAAAAGAGAATCTGGTAGTTTGTGAAAAGGCAGTGAGTGGAATCTGACTGATGTCACTCAGGTGTGGAAAACCAACCAGAGAATTGAAAGCAAGTCATGAGAACTGAAAGCAAGTCATGATGCAAGAAAAAACAGATGATAAAAATGCTCACAATGTGACTTGGAAAATGTATCATCAAACAACCAAAGTTTTGACCTTGTCCAGGTGTTACAATTTTTTGGTGATGATTTACAAAAAGAAATTCTAACTCTTATGAGGGGAAATGAGGCTGAGATATCTGAGTGCAGCTGTCAAGGGTGTGTGATTATTATTTAGGTCCCTTTCAGGGAATGGATTCCTTCTTATCTTTCTGATAAAGGTGAAGTAGAGACTCTGGTAAACATTTCATATTGCTCACAGATAGGCCTGACAGGTGTTTATGAAAGCTACTGTGCACTTCTTCATCCAGAAGGATGAACAGAACAGTGCGATTTGGGTTGTATAAGCCTCTGACCTACATTAAGGTAAACAGTAGTGACCCATGATGGAAGGAATATCTGGAGTGTACCAGAAAACTAAGCATTATATTGGAGCTTATTTCAAATACAGAGAAGAATTATAATTAGAGGACATAATAAATACCTGAGTTTTAATTTATACCTGAGTTTAAATTTATATAATTTAATTATATTTAATAATATAATATTTTATATTGTATTTAATAATATAATATATTATATTATTACAATAATATAAAATATTATATTATATTATAATAATATATTATATTAATTTAATATATAGAGGACATGATAAATACCTGAGAAGAATGTTTCTGTTAAAAATTTCTGTACAGGCTATTTAAAATTGTTCAGTCAGAACTTTATTTTTGACAGTTTCAAGTAGCCTGAATGGCAATGGAAACAAAAGAAATTTTCTCTCTTTTTATTGAGGTACAATTGACAAATAAATACATTGTGAAATAATTGCCACAATCAAGTTTAACACATCTATCACCTCACATAGTCATATTTTTGGTGATAATGCTTAAGATCTATTCTCTTAACAAATTTCAAGTATACAGTACAGTATTATTAGCTAGTCACCATCCTGTACATTAAATCCTCAAAATGTATTTACTATATAACTGAAAGTTTATACCCTTTGACCACCATGTCCCCATTTTTCCCACCTGCCAGACCCTGGCAACCACCATTTTACTCTGTTTCTATGAGCTCACTCTTTTATTTATTTATTTATTTAAGATTCTACGTAGGAGTGATACCATACAGTACTTGTCTTTCTCTATTTGGCTTATTTAACTTACTAGTACCCTCCAGGTTCATGTATGCTGTCACAAATGGCAGAATTTTTTCTTTTCTATGGTTGATTAATATTCCACAGTGTGTATGTATGTATATATATACACATACATTTATATATACATACATATATACACACACACACACACACACACATATATATATATACACATCTTCAATCTGATGAGTCAATTTTTATGGTTTTTTTTGTTCTTATTGTTCCTCAAAGATATTTTAAAGCTTGTCTTTTATGTCTTCAGTTATAGTATTAACAATATTTTCATTTGACAATCTTTGCCTTTTAATTGAATTACAGTATTTAGTAAATTTATTTTTATATAATTATTAAGATTAGATTTATGGCTATCATCCTGCTATATGCTTTTTGTTTGTCCTATCTGGTATTCTTTTTATTTCACATTTCTTGACTACTTTTGTGTTTCTGAAATACATTTTAATACTTTACTTTATCTTCTCTTATTTTGTTACTGCTCTAAGAAATATTTTTTATTATTCTCTTAGAAATTATAAAATGTATCATTTATTATTACTTATGTTAAGTTTGTGTTTATATCCACATCCTAAATAATGCAAAAACTTTATACCAGTTTAACTGGGGTTCACTGTTTGGGATACACTGAATTTCTTTCATCAAACTTAAACATTCTCAGCCATTAGCATTTCAATTCTTTTTCTTCTTTCAAAATATTGGACCACTTGACAGTGGCCAACATCTTTCTTTGCTCTATTTTATTTTTCTTTGTGCTTAAGTTTGAATATTTTATATAGGCTTGAATTTGAGTTCAATAATCCTGTCTCTTGCTGTGTATAGTCTGCTTTTAAATCCATCTAATAAATTTTAAAGTTTATACATTGTATTTTTATTTTGAGTGTCCATTTGACTATAAAATAAATTCTAATTATCTGTTAAAATATTCTACCTTCATGACCATTTTAAACTTTAAAAAATATTTTATTTAGCATATTAATCATACTTTATTTTAAAGCTTTTGCTAACTCTAATGTTTGCAGCATCTCTGCATCTGCTTTTGCTGATTGTTTTATGTGCTAATTGTTGGCTGTGTTTTCCTGTTTCACTCTATGACTAGGAATGATTGCAGGGGACTGTGAATAGTATGCTGCACATTCTCTTGGTTAAATTACTGTCTTAGTGCATTTTGTGTTGCTATAACAGAATACCCAAGACTGGGTTATGTATAATGAACAGAAATGTATTGGTTCACACTTCTGGAGGCTGGGAAGTCCAAGATCAAGGCACTGACATCTGGCAATGGCCTTCTTGCTATGCCACCACATGGTGAAGGGCATAGGGCAAAGAAGCAACAATGAAGCAAAAGGGAGCCAAACTCACCCTTTTATTTTATCTTATTTTTTATTTTTTATTTTTTTTGAGACAGAGTTTTGCTGTGTCAGCCAAGCTGGAGTGCAGTGGTGCAATCTTGGCTCACTGCAACTTCTGCCTCCCGGGTTCAGGCAATTCTCCTCTCTCAGCCTCCCAAGTAGCTCAGACTACCGACACACGCCACCATGACTGGCTAATTTTTGTATTTTTAGTAGAGATGGGGTTCACCATATTGGTCAGGCTGGTCTCGAACTCCTGACCTCAGGTGATCCACCCACCTCGGCTTCCCAAACTGCTGGGATTTAATGGCATTAATCCCATCCATGAGGGCAGAGCCTTTACAGCTCAATCACCTCGCAAAGATCCCACCTAACACCACCACAATGGCAACCAACAGGAATTTTGGAGGGAACAAACATTCAAACCATGGCAGTTACCCTTTCAAGAGTTTTGGCTCATTTAGCTAATTGTCAGTGCCCATTTTTTGACTTTAGGGTTGGCCTTATTTCATTCACTTCTCTTTAATTCAGGAGACTACTTCTCCTGGTAATCTATGGCCTTTAGTCCAACTCTATAGCACCCACACAGACCGATTTCTGTTTCTTCTGCCCAGCAAGACTACCATTCTCTGTTTGGCTCTAATTCCCTGCACCATATTGGAAAATGTCCGCAGGATGAAAGTTGGGATTAATGAAAGGTTTGCTTCTTGTATTTTTCTTCTCTTAAGGTTCCTGTCCTCTGGTGGTTGCTTTACAATTTCTGTAAACCTGAATAATTTTTTATAGTCTGCATCTGATAACATCAAAAATATTTGTGAGGCTTCTTAAAATAATTTTTTTCATTTTTGCTTGTTCTTACATGATACCTCTCTCTTCATATACTTGCTTTTCTTTGAGTAGGGTTAACTGATTTTGAGAAATTTTTACTAAGAATTGGAATAGTAAGACAGGCCTTTTCTTCTTGTGGAAATAAAACTTGCTTGCTTTTTCAAGGCACCTGAGGTCACTTTGAGATCAGTACTCTACATGTCTGGTTCACTGAGGTTCCAGGAACTATCTAGGCAATGCAAACATAGATTACAGATTAACATTATGGCTTTACCTTGGGCACTATAGAATTTGAGGCCCTTATGGAGAGTGTTTCTTTTTAAAATCTTTCAACTTTGACAGGCCTTAGACTTTGATTTTTTGTTTTTTTCAACAAGCTAAGGTCTCAGAATGAAACTTCACATTCTCCTGGACTGACAAATAACCTTAAACAAACTGACTTTGTTTCTTTGCTTGTCTTTGGGGGTTCTTTATTTCTCTCCTCAATTTATTTTTGTAATTTACTTCTATCTTGTTAGTTCTTTAATGCTTTCAAAAGGTGTATGTGTATGTGTCTGTATAGGTGTGTGTCAGTCACATTTGATTGTTTCCAGTAGAGTGAGTGGCAGACGAAATAACTTAGAAATTCAATAATAGCTTCTATATTAATTTAAAAATTGTACAATTGAATAAGTATATTTAATTAAAATAATTTGATGATTTGTTTATTAATATGATTAATTTTAAATTAAATTTTCTTGAAATAATTTAGTTCAATAAATATTAAAAGATTATGCTCTCTATGATTCAACTTATATAAAAATGCTTTTTTTTTTTTTTTTACCCCTCAGAGTCGTTTGGATGTGTATTTTTCACACAACCCAGCAGGAACATCTGTTCAAAATATGCTTCATTGGAGTCAGGTATAACTGCTAAAGTGCATTTCCATACAATTTAATTCATGCTACTCATGGTTTACCTCATTATTCTAGGGATCATACCATGGCCATAGAGTAATAAATTTATAAGGATAAAATGAAATTATTATATATTTCTATAATTCCTTACAGTTTATAAAATATTGAGGCTGGGCGCAATGGCTCAGGCCTATAATCCCAGCACTTTGGGAGGCCGAGGCGGGTGGATCACCTGAGGTCAGGAGTTTGAGACTAACCTGGCCAACATGATGAAACCCTATCTCTACTAAAAATACAAAAATTAGCCAGGTGTGGTGGCACATGCCTGTAATTCCAGTTACTTGGGAGGCTGAGGTGGGAGAATCACTTGAACCCGGGAGGTGGAGGTTGCAATGAGCCAATACTGTACTGCTGCACTCCAGCCTGGGTGACAGAGTAAGACTCTGTCTCAATAAATAAATAAAAATAAAATGTTAGTATCATAATTTAATTAATTCTCTAAACCTAAGTACTGTTACAGCAATATAAATATCAGTTTTACAAATAAGAAAATGTTACAACAGTAGACTAGGGATTATTTAGGCCATGTCCCACAGTCGACTTGCCCAATGCTTCAAAGCTATTCCACTTTTAAAATCTGACCGGAACACAGTTAGTTATCCTAATGCCTACTCTGAAACGCTTTCACTAGACTGCACTTTCTCCTCCGTTAAATTGTCAACTCCTGAGAACCATGAGAAGTTTTGTTCACGTTTGTATTTCCAAGGTCAACAGTTCTTAGCATATAGTAGATACTCAACTAATATTTGTTCAATTAATGATATTGATAAAAAAAATCCAGTGTGAATGCAATCTTAATGTTGAAAACCAGGATAACATAGTAGAAAGAACACTTTTCTCAGATCAAAAGACCAGAAATTAAATCCTTTCTCTGGCCCTTAGTGGCAGGGTGACATTGAGCATCTCATTTAATCTTCCTGAATCAGTTTCCTTTATTTTTAAAGTAAAATTAATAATTCTCTGATTTAACTAAGAAAAATATTGTAAGAATTGAAAAGGCTAATGATTATGAATGTACATTAAAGTTAATAAACACTAGGTAACTTTAAAGTATTGTTAAGATATTGGGTAAGGCTTTTTCATTTACGAAAGTTTAAATCTATAATGTAATTGATTTGATATAAATTATTGAAAACATTTATTATAACTTATATTTAGGTAAGTTATACTTTCTTCTCTGGTGATGCGTAGACTAGAAAAATCTAAACAACCTTTGCAATTATTTAACCATTGTAACAATATTTATTGTATACCTACTATGTCCCTATAATATTCTGTGTTCATGGGCTACATCAGTGAACAAAACAAGAACTCCTGTCATCCTCAAGCTTACATATTATTTGTAGGTATATAGATTATAAACAATAACCATGTCAACTTTAAAAACTATTATAATGTGTTAGAAGGGAATAGAACTATGGAGAAATTGGGGTAAAAGAGTAGGGAAAAGGTATTAGGCATGCTGGGAAGTGGGTTGTACTTTTGAATAGAAAGGTTAGGCCAGGCTTCAGTGAGATGGTGACATTTGGAACATGGAAACTTAGGGAAAGGAGGCAAAAATAATGAGTAAGACAGGGATCTGCATGTCATTGTAAGGACTTTGGCATTCACTCTGTGTGAAGTGAGTAGGCACTGCATGATTTTGAGCAGGAAAGTGATATGATATAGTTTACACTTTTAAAAGGAACACATTGGCTGCTATGTTGAGTAGACTATAGTAGAACAAGAGTGAAAGCAGTGAGAGAGTTAGAAAATTACTGCAATCATCCAAATGGGAAATGATGATTGTTTGGACTGATGTGTTGACAGTGGAGGTGGTGAAAATGAATGGAGTCTGAATAAACATATGTATATCATGAACATGCAGGCAACAAGATTTAATGAAGGACTCTATAAGAGGTGAGTGAGAAAGAGAGTCTTGGATGATTCTAAAGTTCCTGACTTATGTAATGAAAAGGTAATATTGCCATTAAAGGAGATAGGGAGGTTTGATGATGAAGGTTTTGGAGGAAAGGTAAAATAAGTTTTAGATATTTAATTGATGACATTGAGTAAGCAGTTGTATATAGGAGCCTAGAATTTAGGAAAGACTTATAAAAGAAGATAAACACTTTGAATATAAATGACATGTAAAGCCAAGAGAGTGAGAATACAAAAAGCCAGAGGCAAAAATGCAAATGAAGTGAGTATAGACAGAAGAGCAAGATCCTTTCGAGCAAGGATTGGGTATTGAGATCTGAAAAGATTAACAGGTCAGGTGGCAGAAACTAAGTTGGCTAAACAAAGCTGAAAAGGAACAAAGTAAAAATGAAGATAAAGAAATTGTGGTATTCTAGAAGCTAAGTGAAGGAAAGATCTCAAGGATGAGGGAATGAACAACTATGTCAAGTGCTGCCAACGGATAACATGAAAAAGTTCCTCAGAATTGATCAAAGTGTTAGAAATGTCAAGGTCATAAGTAACCTTGGCCAGAAAGTGGTGGTGAGGCTGTGAGTGTAAAGGGGTAAAGAAAAAAGTGACTTCTGGGACAAACTCTTGAGCCCTATTGTTTGAAGCATGGTGTTTTAGGCGGGTGTTATCTTAGTCTCAGTGCAAGACACTCAGCGTTGACCTCTGTTGATGAAGCTGAAGATTTGAGGGAGCCTGATGTTACTTCTCCCAAAAGAGGCCCCCCTCTGGGTAGAAAAAGGCCCTGGGTATATGTACATTCATATAAAGACAATGGAATTATTTCTTTAGATTCCCCTGCCCCCATCTCCAACCCCTTCCATTTATTTCCCTATCCAAAGGAAAAGAAGAACGAAGAAGCCCACCTGCATAAATACCAGCAGACCCAGTACAATGGGGGTATATATGCATTGCATGCTTAACTTGCTCAGCTGCCACTGTAATGAACAAATGATATGGTCTTATTTTTTGTTTCTCTTTCAGCTTTTAAATTCTACTCATTTGAAAGCTTATGACTGGGGCAGTCCTGATCTGAACTTGGTTCATTATAATCAGGTACATAATTCTCTATAAAAACTCTCTACCTTACTGACTTTTTCAGATAACTTTGCTATAGATCAAGGATCAACTGTAAATCCCCACAGTACAATAACACACTGATTAAGGACCAGCAGATGAAGATAATGTTTATTTGGATACGTATTGTCACATCCAACCAAAGTGGCTTTTCCATGTTTTCTATGTATTTTAACAACAAATAACCCGGATAAGTCCAGAAAAATTGACAGGCAGTAGAAGAAGTTATTATCTCTCAAGAGGAAAAATACTGCGTTTTTTATATCCATAGCTTTACACTTGGTTAAATAAGAAGTAAAAGGCATAATATATTTATTCACCCTAAAACCAGTTATTCTATTTGGAAAGATAAGAAAACATATATAATAATTAGGAAAAATTAGAAGTAAATGAGAATGTGGTAAAAATTGTATAAGGACAAAATTATTGAAGTACTAGAACCCAAGTCTGTCTGACTCCAAAGTTTATGCTTTTCCTCCATACTTTTCTGTCTCATCTAAACGCCAGGCTGATGTGATCTGTTCATATAAAAGTCTGATCTTCATATAAAATTTGAAGATCAAATTCAAAGAGATCAGAGTTGACGTGGACTGCCAATACTTATAATTTATTGACAAACATATTGACAGTAATACTGCTACAGAAAATTTGATTTAAAATCTTTCATGTTTTATAAACAGTACTGAAATTACCTCTGTGAAATGTTCGAATATTTTGAATTAGAACAAACTGTCTAGTTTAGATTTATGTATGACTTATTTTCAAGTAAAACTTGTAATCCCTATTCATACTTTCATACCTTTGTCTCAACAGATCCAGTAAGTTGAATCCATTAGATTTGACTTATTTTAAAACAGTATTTAAACTCATCATTTTAACAATTAGTAATTAAAACCTTCTACTGTATCATCTCCTATGAAAACTATTTTTTCACTCATTTATTTTCAGACAACGTCTCCATTATACAACATGACAAACATGAATGTGGCAACTGCAATTTGGAATGGTAAAAGTGACTTGTTGGCTGACCCTGAAGACGTTAACATTTTACATTCTGAAATCACAAACCACATTTATTATAAAACTATTTCTTACTACAATCATATAGACTCTTTGTTTGGATTAGATGTCTATGATCAAGTTTACCATGAAATCATTGATATTATCCAAGACAATCTATAAAGAACCATGGCGCTGTGTGTTTAAAGATCTACATCATTCCTAATGAAATCCAATTCTTATTTTTTTTTACCTGTGTATGTTCTTTCATTTTTAAAACTAAATATGTAGTTTTTTCCTCTATATTCTCATTGACCTTAGGCCCTCCAGTCATTAAATCAGTGTCATTCATCATCTCAGGGGAAATGGCAGATTATAAATCAATCTAAGAAGCCTGTTGAGTTTCAAAATAGAATTTACATAACATATCAAAAACAATAATCTTTAACATTTCAATTGCAGGAGATAACTTTTTAAGAAAGTTTTTTTCAAAAGTACATGGAATTACATATATTATAAAAATAGAGTTTTGAGAAATACTTGATATGAAAGTTAATGTTCCTCTATGCTAAATGAAGAGTAAAAACACTTTTCAAGTTTTATAAAGGAGTTTGGGGAGAAAAGAAAAAGAAGGAGAGCCTGGATGCCAATGTAATATTGCTTGCCTTGTGATTATTTCAGGCAAAGTCCCAGATGTAGGGAGATCATAGAAACCGTAGAGGGGCTGTGCCTCACTTCCCAGAGTGTATAGCTTGAGAAGAGGGAAGTTGCCTTTCCAGCCTATTGTGTGTTAAGAGCAGCAATGGTTGAGTTATATTCCTAGGTAACTAGATCTGAGGCTGGACTCATAAAACATTATGCACTGTCGCTTGGTGCATATAAGATCCAAGAATTTCTTATACATGAGATGTGTAGATATATTCAAGAGAGTACTAGAAGATGGAAAGAGGACTAAGATTTGGAATGAAAGGATACTGTCAATAAATGCAACACATATAATAGGAAGCACGGAATGTGGCAAGACAATGGGCATCACCAGGAGATGTACACTAAACTCTCTCTCAAAATTGCATGCAGACTTCCTGTTTCCAGTTTATCACATAAGAAGATTGAAAGTCACCACTCAGTCCAAACAACAAATAAAAGTTCAGTAGACTGAAAAATCAATAATTCCTCTTGTCAATCTTTTTGACACTTAACATATTTTTGTAAGTTTTATTTTCAAGAGCTTGATCAGGTTCTCACAGTAAATATTGGAGAAAAATTCTCTTGTGCTCTAGCAGACAGAGAAAAATAGAAACCGTTTTGAAACAGGTGACAACACTCTGCTCTTAACAAGGCCTGTCCTCAGAAGAAACTAGTTAACCATAGCCTAACCTGCAGGGTTTTATCAAAGCCTAATGAACCTGAAGGAAAGATCATACTCAACTCCTGCCTACTCTAGCTATCTCCTCAAAGTGGAACTGAGAAGCACTTCTGAAGTTCACAGTCCAGAGGCACAGGCTCACTAAAAGACTGAGACCTAACAACGGGACTATAGAACGCTTCGCCTCTCTCACATCTCACCACTATGTTACCACCTACTCTGGTGGAGGATGTTGTTAACGAGGGAGGCTATGAATGTGCAGGGCCAGGAAATATATGGGAAATCTTTGTACCTTCCTCACAGTTTTGCTGTGAACCTCAAATTAGTCTAAAAAATAATTCCTTAAAAAAATTGCATGCAAGGATATATGCCACAGGGGAAGATAAACTTTTCTTCATTCCATTTCCTGAATACTGCATAACTTCCGGGGACATTTGTAGTCCCCAGGGAGACCAAGATGCTAAGAAGAAAGTCTAGAATTGAGTGTGAATTTACCACATAAAGACTAACAAAAACGATCCATAATTTGCTGCATTGGAGAATTAAGTTTTCTGCATTAAGCAAAACAGGAGTTGAAAGGCAAGTTCAGCTAGTTTTGAGGTTGATAAATTTGTAGTTAACACATACTTATGGACATCTGAAATTATTATACAAATGAGGCAGGAAAATAGGGTCCAAAGGCAGGGATCCTAAGGACTTCCTAGAACTAAATCAAATGGAAAAAAAACTCCAACTCTATAGAGCAAGAAAATAACTTTGTAACTCCACTTCAGCTATGTCAGGAAACATCCTCTTTATTTGCATAGGGTGTACAACAAGTAAATATCTTTGTAACTTCACTTCATCCTCTCCAATTACACAGGGCTTACACCAAGCAACCAGTGGGAAACCTCTAGAGGATATTTAAATCCCAGAAAATTATGTAACCAGGGTTTTGAGCCGCTTGTTCAGGCCTGCTCCCCCCTGTGGAGTATACTTTTGTTTTCAATAAATCTCTGCTTTTGCTGCTTCATTCTTTCCGTTCTTTGTGCATTTTGTCCAATTCTTTGTTCAAAATGCCAAGAACCTGGACCCCCTCCACCAGTAACACAAATATAAATTAAACATACAGATAGAGAAATAAAATATGTGTATAGGTTATTATGAATGCTGCTAGGGAAGGTAAATAATAACTTGCAAAATTATAGTTGAGGCTATGAAGAAGTCCTTGTTTTCTTTGGTAAACCTTGGCACTAAAATAGTACTGAGAATAGATACATCTTTAGAGATATCTTTTTAAAGAGCTCCGGAATGTTAATATGACTTAAACATTACTTCAGTGGTTTCAAATGATCCTTCAAAGAAGGCAAATATAATGGGATAATAATTCAGAAGTATTACTCATGTTGATATTTAAAGAATAAATTGGAAGTCTCTGATAATGGTGGACTAAATAACTTAGATCTGGAAAAAGCATAAAAAGTATCTGATTGCAGACAATGGAAAGCTAAAAACACAATGAAGAATTTCAGTCAAGAAAAGGAAACCCTACCGGGTGCAGTGGCGCACGCCTGTAATCCCAGCACTTTGAGAGGCTGAGGCGGGTGGATCACGAGGTCAAGAGATCGGGACCATCCTGGCCAACATGGTGAAACCCTGTCTGTACTAAAAATACAAAAATTAGCTGGGCGTGGTGGTGTGCACCTGTAGTCCCAGCTACTCGGGAGGCTGAGGCAGGAGAATCGCTTGAACCCGGGAGGCAGAGGTTGCAGTAAGCCGAGATCATGCCACTGCACTCCAGCCTGGGCGACAGAGCGAGACTCTGTCTCAAAAAAAAAAAAAAAAAAAAGGAAACCTGAAGAAGTGAGAGGGTGCTGTATGTATCTACATCCCAGCAACATCTACTTATTGGGGAAGTATGGCTAAAAGCCCCCCAATTAATGGAGAATAGAAATTGGAATTCAGTCCACCAACAGGAAGTTTCCTCTGATAAGCCTCAATCCTCAGCCTTTGGGTTGTAACCCCAGAGTACTGTACCCCAAGAATAAGGTTAAAATGAAAATTGATCACTTATTTAGGAGCTGTAGTCCAGCTTTGAATCATAATGATTACTAATGTACTAAAGTGATCTAGAAATACTAATACCCTAGCTGTCAAAAGCAAAAGTAAATCCTCTCTGGCAGAAAGTTAAATTATCCAAGGTGCTAGAAATAATGATATAATTTTGGCATGCCACAGAATAGGTCAATATAAATTATATTTTTATGTACTAGCGTCATCAATTGCAAAATGAAATTGAAAATATTATGCCATTTTCAATATTATGAAAATATTTAAATACTTAAAAATACAGATAAATACGTTCACATTGGCAGATGCAATATTATTAAGATATCCACTCTTCCCAAATTTATTCAAATATTCATAGCAATTCTAATCAAAATCCCCTGGGCTCTTTTTTTCTTACCCTAGAAATTGTTATATTAATTCTAAAATTTTTATAAAATTACAATTGCCAAAACAATTTTAAAAAATTTTATAGAATTTACACTACCTAATTGCAAGACTTACCACAAACCTGCATTAACTAAGACAGTGCGGTATTAGCATAAAAAGATGTCTACATCCATGGAGCAGTACAGAGTTTGGAACTAGACCACACCTATGTAGTCAGTTGATCTTTAACAAAGATGCTTAAGTAATTCCACAGAGTGAAGGATTGTTTTCAGAAATGGACAGCATAATTTTAAAAAAGACGAACTTTAACCTCTACATTACATCAGATATAAAATTTAATTTGAAATTAGTCATAGAATTAAGTCTAAAATCTTAAACTATAAAACTTCTAGAAGAAAACAGAGGAGAAAGTCTTTCTAACTTCAGGCTAGGCAAACATATCTTAGAAGAGACGCAGAAAAACCGAAGATCCTCACAGAACCCACTTCACTCCCCTGCTACCTCCACCAGAGCAGTGCTGGTATCCACAGCTGCAAGACCTGAAGATGGATCACATCACAGTTCTCTTTGCAGACACTCCCCAGTACCAGCCTAGAGCCCAGTACCTCCACTGGATGGCTAGACCCAGAAGAGCAAAAACGATCATTACAGTTTGGCTCTCAGGAAGCCCCATTCCCAGGGGAAGAAGGAGAACACCACACCAAGGGAGCACCCCATGGGACAAAGTAATCTGAACAGCTACCCTTGAATCCCAGATATTCCCTGTGACATAGTCTACCTAAATGAGAGGGAACCAGAAAAACAATTCTGGTAATATGACAAAAAAAGTTACTTTAACACCCCAAAAGATCATACCAGCTCACCAGCAATGGATCCAAACCAAGACAAAATCTCTGAATTGCTAGAAAAAGAATTCAGAAAGTTGATTATTAAGCTAATTAAGGAGGAACCAGAGAAAGGTGAAGTCCAACTTCAAGAAATCAAAAACATGATGTAGAATAAGAAAGGAAAATTCTTAGTGAAATAGAGAGCATAAGCAAAAAACAATTACCACTTCTGGAAATCAAGGACACACTTAGAGAAATGCAAAATGTACTGGAAAGCCTCAGGAATAGAATCGAACAGGCAGAAGAAAGAACTTCAGAGCTTGAAAACAAGGCTTTTGAATTAACCCCATCCATACAAGACAAAGAAAAAAGAATTTTAAAAAATGAACAAAGCCTCCAAGAAGTTTGGGACTATGTTAAACATCCAAACCTAAGAATAATTGGTGTCCCTGAGGAAGAAGAGAAATCTAAAAGTTTGGAAAACATATTTGGGGGAATAATCAAGGAAAACTTATTCAGCCTTGCTAGAGATCTAGACATCCAAATACAAGAAGGTCAAAGAACAACTGGGAAATTAATTGCAAAAAGATCATTGCCTAGGCACATAGTCATCAGGTTATCTAAAGTCAAGACAAAGGAAAGAATCTTAAGAGCTGTGAGGTAAAAGCATCACATAACCTATTAAGGAAAACCTATCAGATTAACAGCAGGTGTCTCGGCAGAAACCCTACAAGCTAGAAAGGATTGGAGACCTATTTTTAGCCTCCTTACACAAAACAATTATCACCTAAGAATTTTGTATCCAGCAAAACTAAGCTTCATAAATGAAGGAAAGATACAGTCTTTTCCAGACAAATGCTGAGAGAATCTGTCACTACCAAACCAGCACTACAAGAACTGCTAAAAGGAGCTCTAAATCTTGAAACAAATCCTTTGAATACACCAAAATAGAACCTCCTTAAAGCATAAATCTCACAGGACCTGTATAATAATAACACAATGAATAAAAAACAAGGTATTCATTTACATTCATAACATTGAATGTAAATGGCCTGAATGCTCCACTTAAAAGATACAGAATGGCAGAATGGGTAAGAACTCACCAACCAAATTTCTCCTGTCTTCAGGGGACTCACCTAACATAACACATAAGATCTCACAGAAACTCAAGGTAAAGCAGTGGAAAAAGATATTCCATGCAAATGGACACCAAAAGCTAGCAGGAGTAGGATTTTTATGTCAGACAAAACAAACTTTAAAGCAACAGCAGTTAAAAAAGACAAAGAGAGACATTATATAATGATAAAAGGCCCATTCCAACAGGAAAATATCACAATTCTAAATATATACGCACCTTACACTGGAGATCCCAAATTTATGAAACAATTACGACTAGACCTAAGAAATGAGAGAGATGGCAACACAATAATAATGGGGAACTTTAATACTCAACTGACAGCACTAGATAGGTCATCAAGACAGAAAATCAACAAAGAAACAATGGACCTAAACTATACCCTATGACAAACGTATTTAACAGATATTTACAGAATATTCTACCCAACAACTGAAGAATATACACTGTATTCATCAGCACATGGAACATTCTTCAAGATAGACCATATGATAGGCCACAAAACAAGTCTCAGTAAATGTAAGAAAACTGAAATTATATCAAGTACTCTCTCAGACCACAGTGGAATATTCAATATTTATGTGGTAATCAAAATTGGATGTTTTTAGAAGCTAGCGTAGTTGCAGGGTGGTGGAGGGGCAGTGGGCAGAGGATTTAGCTGGTATAGAAAAAGATCTTGTTTCTTCGGGGCAATAGCAGGCATCATTCCACAAAAAAACTTAGCATGTTTTCTAGTTTTCTAAGAGACCTATAGGTGACAAAGGGAAGAATAGGGGCCTAGGTGAAATATAAGTGTCTTCTCCAGGCGGGAACTATTGTAACTATTCCTGAAGATAAATAAGCATAACATATGACTCCCAGTGCTTATGTCAGATCACAGGTTTACCCAGTGAATGCTAAGTGGTTGTAGAGAACAGAAGGTAGCATATATGAGAGATGGGGAGGCGGGGAATGAAAAAAAGGTAAAAAGAGATTGAGTTATTTTTCACTGGTTGTATACATGATTTGATGGAGAGTGTATAGGGAAGAGGGTAATGAGGGTGCAATGGAATCTCACTTAGCAAGGAAAGAGAATGCACAATTGATAAACACAATCAACTGATGAATCTCTAAGATTCCATTTATATGACATTCTCAGAAAGAGAACACAGCAGTGATAGAAAGCAGATTAGTGATTGCCAGGGAGTAGGAAAAGAAGTATGACTGGGGATAGCATAAGGGAGATCTTCCTGGTGATGAAACTAAAGGCATCCTGATATATATATATATATATGTGTGTGTGTATATATATATATATATATATATATATATATGTGTGTGTGTGTGTGTATATATATATATGTGTGTATATATATATGTATATATGTGTATATATATGTATCTTATATATGTTACATATATATGTAAAAATTATATAAAAATATGTTAAAAATGTATAAACTGTACACCAAATTTTTAAAAGTCAGTTTTACTGTATAATGTTTTTAGTTTAAAAATTAGAAAAAATACTTAAAGAGGAAAAGGCATCAATGGATTAAATTCACAAAATGGAAACAAAAGGCAACATGTGACTCTTATTTGGATCTTAAGCACAAAACTGTGGGAGAGAAAAGCATGAGGTAGTTTAAAAAATTTGAACGATAATTGGTTATTTGATGATATTAAATGTTAAAAATATTTTAGTAATAATATTTCAGAAGTATAGTTGTGTTGTTTTAAGAAATCCTTTTAGAGATGTATGGTGAAATATTTACAAAAGAAAATATATATTTTAGATTTGCTTCAAAATAATTCAGTGCAGGGGAGAAAGTCTGAGGTATAGATTAAACAAAATTAGCCATGAATTGATGACTGCTGAAGGTAGCTGATAAGTAGGTTGGGATTCATTGTATTATTTTTCTCTACTTTGTACCTCTGTTAAATTTTCCATAATCAAAAGTTAAAGAATAAACATTTTAAAAAATTAAAAACATTTACAGTAGCATCAGAAGTATGAAATACCTTGAAATAAACCTAGCAAAAAATGTGTCAAACCTGTGTATTAAAATACTATTTTGAAACATTAAAACAATCAAACTGTGAGGAGAACTATAGATGTTCATGATTGAAGACTTGGTATTGTTGATATCAGTTTTACCCAAATTGAACTATACAATTAATACAATCCCAATTAAAATCCTTTTTTGTAAAAAAGTTATAAGTTGAATCTAAATTTTATATAGAATTGCTAGTGGTAAAAAATAGTGAAGAAAATTGTTTTCAAAAGTATTAATATTGGAGGATTTACCCTATTAAATATCAAGAATTATAAAATTACAGTACTTAAGACAGTGAAAGATTTTTGCAAGGATAGAAAAATATGCTAACGAAATAAACTAGAGAGTCTAGAAGCAGAGTCATACATGTATGGTCATCTGATTTGATAAAATGACAGTGCCATATGGGGAAAACTTTGGGGTTTACAATAAAACAATTAGAGATTACATACATTATGTATATCTTATATCCTGTTTTGTACACTATAACAATAATTCAGGTGAAGTGCTGATCTTAATGTAAAAGGCAAAACAATAAAGCTTCTAGAGGAAAACATAATATTTTCAAGAACTTAGAGTAAGCAAAGATTTCTTAAACAGAGCACACAAAGCATGATCCTAAAGGAAAAGGCTGGTAAATTGAATTATATTAAAATCAGGAACTTCAAAGGGATTGTAATATACAAAGAATTTCTACAAATTGATTTTAAAAATACAGACAAGCAAATTTAGAAATGAGCAAAAGACTTGAATAGGTACTTTGCAAGAGAAGAAATTCAAATCTCTCTGATAAACAGAAAAAGATGTTCAACCTCATTAGCCATCAGGGATCATAGAAATACCCTAACAGACCCCTGTCTCTACTAAAAATACAAAAAATTAGCCAGACGTGGTGGCAGGCACCTGTAATCCCAGCTACTTGGGAGGGTGGGGCAGGAGAATCACTTGAACCTGTGAGGTGGAGATTGCAGTGAGCCAAGATTGTGCCACTGCTTTGGGAGGGTGGGGCAGGGGAATCACTTGAACCTGTGAGGCAGAGGTTGCAGTGAGCCAAGATTGTGCCACTGCACTCCAGCTCCAGCAACAGTGTGAGACTCCACCTCAAAAAAAAAAAAAAAAAAAAAAAACAGAAAGAAATACCCTAACATACATACTAGAATGGCCCAAAGAAAAATGATTGACAATACAAACTTGGTCAACATACAGAAAAACAAAACTCTTAAACACTGCTGTAAAATGGCACAATCATTTGGAGAGTGGCCTGGAAATATCTACTAAAGCTAAACATATATCTACTATGTGACTTAGCAATTAAATTCCTAGGAATATACAGAATGTTCAGAGCAACATTATTCACAATATCCCAAAATGGAAATAAACCAAATGTTATCAACAATAAAATGGAGGCCTGGCCCCATGGCTCAGGCCTGTAACTCCAACACTTTGGGAAGCCAAGGTGGGAGGATCGCATGAGGCTATAAATCGGAGACCAGCTTGGGCAACATAGCAAGACCCCATCTCTACAAAAAAGAAACAAAAACAAGCAAAAACAATAAAATGGATACATAAGTTTTGGTGTGTTCTCACAATGGAATACTCTTGTAGAATAATGACAGTGATTAAACAGCTAATGCATACAAAAACATAGACAAATCTCCAGCCACAAATAAAACTAGAATTTTATTTCCATTTGCCTGTTTTCCCCTGGGAAAACACTGTTTCCTTGCAGAGGACTTTCCTGTTAGTGACCCCGCGGGGAAAGCCTCCCAGGCTGAAGGCACTTCACCTATCTCAGCAGTTAGAACAAGCCCTTCAGGGTCCTCATAAAAGTCCCTGGCCTGCGTCAGGGAGAGGCTGATCCCCCAGGGCCGACTGGAATCTGAGCTCAGACCATTAGGAAGCAGGCTCAAAGCATAAGATCCTCGGTGAACAGGCTGTGCAAACGCCAGGTCGAGCTCAGTTGGCGCCGAGCGCCCTTAACCGCACCTAGAGGCCCGACCTGCTGAGGCCCTCAAAGCAGGAGCTGAGGCGGGGGATCCTCAGGCAGGCACTGAGGACAAGGAGGACTTCCATGGGATTACGGCCGCCTACAGAAGAAGTGGACGCCCACCAATAAAGACCAGGCCTGGAAGACTCTGACGGAGCACTACAGCATCCTGAAGTTGCTGGATGGGTATCCCGCAACCCCTGCCTCAGGCTGAGGCTGCCTGCTCTCTGGCCTGGAGAAGGGGAGATGAAGAGAGGAGGCAAGCCTGCTTCCTGGGGCTTTGCCAGAAGCCACAGCCTGCAGCTGCTCTGTCAAATGGCTACAGTCTCTAGAGGACTGAAACCCTTCTCTGAGGCCTTTTGGCCCAGCTCTGTGAAAACAGGACATGGAGGCCCTGCTGGGCTGGTGCTCAGTCTCTGCTTGGTCCCCAGTGTGTAAGTGGCTTCTTTTCTGGGCCTTTCTCTTCCCCCTCTTTACTAACCCCTAATCCCATAGCCCCACCACTCTCTTCCCTTCATGGAGTTCTGCTTTGTGATTTTGTAAAGAAGAAACCTAAAATTTAAGCTAAATTAAAAACAAAACAAACAAACAAAAACCAGACTGCTGAAGGAGGGGATCTTGGTGATGCCAAACATGCTCTCGGGACAAGACAGATCAGTGATTCAAAGCCCGGCTGAGCCATGACAGAGTAAGAAACATGGAGGCCTTCAACAGGTGTCTCAGAATAACTTACGGCAGTCGCTAGAGATTAGATACCTGAAGTTAGGTGAGATAGGATTAGACAATGATAATTTGAGAAATCAATAAATATGAAGCTTTAAAAATTCTTTAAAAATTCAGAGGAACCACTCAGTAAATCTGCCTACATAATAATTATTATATCAAAGATATTTAAAATAAGAAGAAAGTAAATACCAGGAATACGTCTCCTACTTTCCATGTATTCCTTTGACTGCATTATTTGTTCATTCTGCAATGGTCCAGAAATATCAGTTTTTGTCACTGACATAAGAACGGAGAAGACAGAGAGGAGGGAAGGAAAAGAAGAGCTCATTAGTGAAGAGGAGAGAATACATGAGGGAAATGATGAAGAAAGGGGAAAGCTATGGTTGTACAGAGAGAAAACAGGAATTAAGGATGCTAAGTGCACAGCTTCCCTTCACCTGAGTGAACTAGTTGGTACTATTGAACATATATCTGGTACCTCATTCTTTGCAAGAAGTTCTGGAAGCTTCAGAAAGCTCCTCTAAAGATAGTGTCAGAAAGGAGTGAGGGGCTGGAGATAAAGGAAGAAATGGGAACAGCTTTAAAAATCATAGCAGTTTCCAAGTCATATCAAATAATTTTTTAAGCAACAAAATTACTCTCTCTACTAGTAGATTGAATCAAATGAAAGCTACTTTGGAATAAATTTGATGTTGCTCAATGGACTATTGCTAACTCCAAAGATAACAGCACTCTCCCTAGATGATCTTACACTTTTCATGCTTCAGTTGTCACATATGAGAAAAAGTTGAGTTTGTCATAATGCTTTCGGGCCTGGAAACCTCTTAAGCCAGATCAACCTCAATAATTAGGTCAGCATCACCCAATCTGCATGTACAATCTGCATGTGGATATTTTTTTCAAGCTGGTATTTTTTTTTCAATTTGAAAGCAGTCATTGTCTATTAACTGATGAGATTACAACAATAATCATGGTAGATACCTTGTTTTATCTTTCTAATAAGCCTATTGATCTAGCCTTCCCTGTTGCTGGCATTTTCACCTACAAATGGGTGGCCTTTTTCTTTATTCTGTGGAGAAGATAACTTGAAGGGCATAAGAAGTTATTTGCTTCTTTGAAGTATTTTCCAGCTGTATAGATCTCATGAATCAGATTCTTCATGCAGATGATACCAGATTTATCAAGAGATCAAGAAATCAAAGTGTTATCTGTCAAGGCAATTCACTTCTTACTGATTTTGCCATAACCATGCTTATATATTAGTTTATTTTCTGACTTCAGGTTCGGGTACCCCCCTGCAATATGTGGTTCTAAAGCCTCAGCATATTCATTGAGGCCTTGAGCTTAACAAAGTTTCTGTTGAAAATCTGGCAAAGGCAAAAGAGTTGCAACACCTTTTGGACTCACACCATTGATACCTCTGACCCTGATGACAAATGCCAATTTGGGTTCTGCCAGTATATAGCAGTTGCCAGCTTTTTTTGCCAGCCTAGCCATTTGAATCTCAGTTATGGGCATCTGCCTATAGTCCTTGTGATAGTGCTTAGCTTTTTCATAGATAAGCTTCCTCCTTGCCTTTTGAAGCATATTTTCCTTCTTAGGCATTTTGATCTTCAGCTCTGTGAAATTCTTTTGCTCTTTCTTAAAAGTTTCTGGCACAGCAGGAACCTTCTTTTTCTTCTCTTCAGCACCCTTCATGGTTCCAGCCAGAAAAGACATCAAACTGTTTTGTACTTCAGGATTTTAATTTATTTTTGTTAACTATGCGTACATATTAGGAAGAAGAAAATAATTGCCTTTGCTGATACTTGCTTTCTGTTGGTACTGGTATTCTGTGGTATGATAGGAAGTGCGCAGATTTATGAACTGATTGGCATATATTAATGATATAACCCGGGCAACCCGCTTGGGTCCCCTTCCACGCTGTGGAAGCTTTGTTCTTTCACTCTTCACAATAAACCTTGCTACTGCTAAAAAAAAAAAAAAAAAAAGCTGTAACCCACACATTAACCAGCTGTATGGTCTGGGCAAGTCACTTCGCATCACCTAGACTCCATTTACTTTTCTATAATATGAGTACATTGGTATAGATAGTATCTAAAGTTTTTTTTCTTCTAATTCATACATATAAAAGTTTTGATTTTATAATTGCCAAATAATAGAAAAAATAATTGCTAAAAATTGATGTTTATGCAGTAGAAAAATCCCCCTCTTGCCACACACACACACACACATATCCCTTTTGTCTGGTTGCTGGCAAGCTTTGATCCCTAAGAATTGGTTATGGCTTTGGCCCCATGGCCTACAGCAGGAACAGAGAAGGAGTGGGGGTTGATGATTGCCTTGTCCATGAGTTACTGTTAAATTCATTATTTTTATTGGGTTTTTTTTTCTATTTCTGGGGTCCTTAAAACCTTTCCTCTTGAATTCTAAAAAGAGTATATATGTAATATCAATTTTGGAATGTTTTAAAATAAACTTTGACACATACATCACACAAACATGAAGCAAAAATGGATTGCAGAGCCAAAAATCTAAATGTAAACCCCAAAGCATAAAACTTCTATAGAAAACATGGGAGAAAATCTTTGTGATCTTGAGTCAGGCAAAGATTATTTAGATAAGATACAAAAAGCACGATCTATGAAAGAAAAGAAAGGATAAATTAGATTTAAAAAAATTAAAAACTTCTGCATTTTGAAAAGACACTAAAAAAATAAAAAAACAAGCAACAAACTTGGAGAAATATTTGCACAATTTATCATTAAAAGACCCCCAAACCTCAGCAATTTAAAGAAACAAACAACTAATTAAAAATGAGACATTCTTTAACAAATGCATAACCTCATTTGAATTATGGGAAAACTTTTTTTTTGTTAAATTGAGGGACCTTCGGCAAAATAACTGAAGTGTTATTTAAAACTGTGAAAATTATGAAAAACAAGGAAAGAACGAGGAGCTATTACAGACTGAAAAGTACTAAAGAGGAAAAAATAATTAAATGTAATGTGGAATCCAAAATAGGATTCTGGAACAGATAAACAACATTCCAATAGGAAGATTAGAAAAGTTCAAATAAGGAGTATAGCTTAGTTAATGATCCTGTACCAATGACAATTTCTTGTTCTGGATAATTATATTATTATGATTATGAAAGATGTTAATAGAAGTGAGATCAAAGATAACAGAAAACTCAACTATTTTTGCAACTTTTCTGTGGCTCAAAATTAAAATTTTAAATTCTAAAAATGGGAAAGATTTAACCAAATACTTTACTAAAGAAGATATATAGATGGGAAAGGACTACACAAAAGGATGCTCAACATCATTAATCATGTGGGGAAGGACCTCACCAGTACTACCACACACCTGTTAGAATGGCTGAAAAAAAATAACCTCACAATACCAAGTGTTAGTAAGAATGCATAGCAGCTGGAGCTCTCTTACATTCCTGGTTTGGATGACCAAATAGTACAAGTTCTTTGGATAACTGTTGAGTAGTTTCTTACAAAGTTAAAAACACACTTATCCTATATCTTAGTCGGCTCAGGCTGCAATAAAAGATACTATAAACTGAGTGGCTTAAACAGTAGAATTTATTTCTCACAGTTCTAGAGGCTGGGAAGTCCAAGATTCAGGCACTGGCAGATCCAGGGTCTGGTGTGGGCCCACTTCATGGTTTCCTCTTGGGCATTTTCTTACTGTGTCCTCGCATGGTGGAGAGCAGAAAGAGACCATTTTTCTCATGTCTCTTCTTAATGGGCAGTAATCCATTCCTGAAGATTCTACTCTCATGACCTAATTACCTTACAAACGCCCCACGTCCAAATAGTGTCACATGGAGTATTCAGGCTTCAACTTATGAATTTTTGGGGAATGCAAACGTTCAATTCATAGCGCCATATGATGCAACAATCATATACACACAAAAATAATGAAAATTTAAATTTACACAAACTCCTGTAGGCAAATGTTTATAGCAGCTTTCTTTATAATTGCCAAAACTAGGGGGTGAGAAGAACCTAATACATTTCAACTGGTGAGTGATAAACAGAGTGTGGTACATCCATACAATGAAATACTAGTTACCAATAAAAGGGAATGGAGTCTTGATAGATGCAATAACATGGGCAAATCTCAAATGCATTATGCTGAGTGAAAAGAGCTAGACTCAAGGGGCTACATACTGCATGATTCCATTTATATAACATTCTGGAAAAGGCAAAATGATAGAACAGAAAAAAGTTCAATTGTTACCAGAGGCTAGAGATAAGAAGAGATCTGGTTGAAAATGGGCAAAAGAGAATTTCTTGTGGCAAAGTAACTCTTACATTTTTTGACTTTGTTAATAATTTACACAATTGTACATTTGTAAAAACTTATAGAACTGTACCCTTAGAAAATTAGTAAATTTTACTATATGAATTTTATTCATCAATAAGCCTGACCTAAAAAAAAAGTATTAGGAGGAGAACAGGGTGTTGCTGTTTTAGATAGGGTGGTAAGAGACGGCCTCACTAACACAATGATATTTGACCTAAGGAAAAGTCAGTGTTCCGCTATTTTCTTTTGAATATGGTTTCTGGAGAGAGCAGAGGTAAACATGTATGCTCCACTATATTTCAGCCTTGATTCTTATTTCTTGGTCAGAAAGAATTATCACTGTTTAAAGGTAACCATTATCTTATGAGTAATTAAGAAGAATCCGAGTAAGAGAGAGTCGGGGATGCATCTGGATATAGTACTACCTATTGGTGCCCTGCTCAGACCCAGTTTAACAGGCTGGTGCAGCCAGCTTTCAGCAGCTTCGAGTGTTGACTGCTAAGAAATCACAGCTGTATGCTCCTCCTGAGCTCACCCTTGGCTGATAGAAAGCACGTCACCTCTGTAATGTCTGACAGTTTATTATCTTCTCACAGGGCAGCTCACAATAGTTGACTGACTGATTTTGGACTACAAAAACTGGACTTTTCTCCAGGTGTAACACTCATACTTCAGAGCTCCCTGTGGGATTCCACTAAGACTTAGCTTCTTCCCCTTCTTTATCCTTCTCCCTTGTTTCCTTACAGATTTTACCGTGAGCACTCCCTCAGCAAATCAGTTAGTAAGAACCCCTGTCTCAAGCTCTGTTTTCTAAAGAACCCCACCTAAAGTACTGACGGAAAATATTTTAAGCAGAGGAAACAATTAAGGCAGTTCTGAAACTTTAGCCTGCATCTCAGTTATCTGGAGAGCTTGATAAACAGAGATTTCCAGGCTCCATCCCCAAAATAACTAATTCAGTAGATCTCAGGTGGGCTCGAGAATTTGCATTTCTAATAAGTTCCCAGATGATTCTGACAGTACTGACCCAGGGACCAGACTTTGAAAAGGCTTAAGTGGGACAAAGCACTAAGGGGAGGATGCTAAGTGGCCAGTGTGGCTCTAGAAGCCTGACTAAGGAGGGAGGAGTCAGAGGTGAAATCAGAGAGGGAACTAGAGGCAACACAGTGCAGGATAATTCAGTTTATTAGAAAGCACTATGGACTTTACTCTGTGTGAGATGGAGAGCTTAGAGCAAAGAGGGACATGAAGTGTTTACATTTTTAACATGGTCACCCTGATGGCTGCATTGACAGAGAAAAATGGTGGAAACAAGGAGATCTGTTAAGAGGCCATTTTGTACTAATCCAGATGAGAGCTGATGGTGGCTTAGATCATGATTCAAATTTTTAAATTATGTAAATATGTAGCTTTGATAAAAATTAAAAGAATATTGAGATAATATCAACAATTCTCTTTAACTTTTCAGATATGGTCCATCTACATTGGAAACCATTCTATACCTCTAAGTGTCCAATGTGGCTCTTCAGCAAATCCTGGCCAATTATAAAGCAATCTGTATGTTTTCTGACTAGTCTGATTTGGTTGTTGGAGGTACTGAAATAATTGTAAGTAAAATACAGTTTTTACATTCTTGAGAAAACTGTATTTAGATATTTGTCATACATCAAGTTACTGAATTTCCCATCCCCAAATTACATCGACCACACTGCTACATGGGCATGTGATAATAAGTAGAAGCAGAGGTGAAATGTGCTGGCATTTGGCTTTCTCACCAGCTGAGTGTCCTGTCAGCTCATGGGTAACTGAGCACATTTCCCACTTTCAAATTATGCATTTGCACATATTCAAGTGTATTGCAGAGTCACTATAAATTGGTGAAACTATAATAAAATCTAAATTTCAAAATTTGATTATAATAGAATATGAATCAAGTGGTTCAGTCCCAGAGAGGTATTCCAGTTAAAAGAAGACACAGTGCAGATTTCAAATTAATAACATCCTTTACTTGTATTTTCCCAAACACCATGAGGGAAAAATAAGTCTCCCACAAAATGCTTTTTACCTGTTTTGTGCCGTCCTCTCCTTGATCTAATGGCTATATAGCACCGTTGTTCCTTTCAAAAACATTTACAAACTACTACTCCTGGGATTATTTTTTGTTCATTTTTTCCTTGTCATTTTCTCTAAATCTTCATTATGATACAAATCTTTTGTCCCAGGATAGTAAGGCAGGGTCCCTTATCCTGAAAATAGATTGAATTGTCTTTATGATTCTGTAGAAAGAGCTGGAGGGATGGTAACATTCTTGAATTAATTATCTTATAAAATTAGTTACATGTGTTGTGAAAACATGTGATCACTTAGTAAGTAATTTCACTAAATCCCAACTTGAAACAAATGTATTTATACATGTCCACTATCTTATCTATGCCATCAAGAGACCTACTTAAGAGCCACATGTTTAAAAAATAAATTCCATTTATGCCTAATAACACCTTGACTTTCAGCGTGTGTATAAGTCATAAAACTACCCTTCTGCCATGCTCCCATCATATACCTCGCCAAGAGATAAAACACAGGCCTGCCTTGGCCAGAGAATTTCTAGGATGTCTGGTATGGAATAGCAAGGGGAACATAGTAGAATGTGGAAGTCAGGTAGTAGCAGGAGGTCAGGAGGCACGGGGCCTTATATTGTTAGAATTTAAATCTTTATATGAAGTGAAATGAGGAGTCATTGCAGTGATTTAGCAGAGAGGGACACGGCCTGACTAATAATGCCTTAAAAAGAATGAGATATGTTGCATTAGAATGGACTGGAGGAGAAACAAGTGAGAGCAGAGAGACCAATTAAGAGAATGTTGTGATGGTAATCTACAGGAGACATGGTATGGGAGGCCAAGGTCATAGCAGTGAAGGTATAAAATATAGATGGTTGGCAGATATATTATTAATGCAACGCCCATATGATTTCCTGACTGAAAATGGGATGTGAGAGCAGAAGGAAAGTACAACTCCAGAGTTTTTTTCCTGAGGGACAGAAAGAAAGATTTCATAGAGGAAATGACAATTTCATGCCTAGGGAGAAGCAGGAGCTCATTAAAGAGGTGAGAAAGAGCCCAATGCTCTGAGGTGTGATTAGTTCAGGAGAACCTGATAATGAGGACTTCTTAAATGGAGGTGCTAATATCCCATAAATCATACTGACAGGAGGGAGGAAGTATCTGAAGTCACCGGATAAACAGAGATCTTCCTTATACATCCATCTTACTTAAATGGTAAATTATTAAAATTTTTGTTTTATTGTGTACATTTATGAACTACAATACAAATCATACAAGTGTTAAAGTTAAATCAAGAGACTCCAAACAGCTTCTCAAATGAGATGTCCCATCTGAGTGTGTCAGGGTTAAGAAAGCATTCTCCTATGAATAATGCTTGAAGCAATCTGAAGGACAAGAATTACCTTTTAAGCCCTTAGGTTAATATTAAAACTGTCAGGTTTTCAGCCAAGCAGTTTGGAGCTAAACTCAAGAACCATTTAGGGGTTTGAAAATAGATTTCCTGCTAGCCTCTTACATACTTCTTTCTCAGTTGATGGTCATATGCTAGTTTCTTGTGAAATAGAAAATAGAAATGTCAAGTTAAGGAGAGTAAGAACATGAAAATGTCAAGTTAAGGTGATTAATTGTAGTGTGTGCTCCTCTTCACTGATATTTAGAGATTCATGAATCAGATAACTCTTTGGGGGCTTTGTAACTTCAGATTAGAGGCCTTGGCTACTTTTTCTCCATTGTCCATTTATCCCAGAAACATCAATTCTCTCCTCCATAGTGGCTTTTCCCCTTAAAATAGATGAGGATTCCTTACTCGCATTAGAGGTAGATCTCAACACAGGTATAAGTGACATCTCTGGACATTTCATAAGGTTAGTATATTTTGTTAGTTTTTATGTGAATAATATTTCCATAAATACTAAAAAAGTGAAATAAATAATTATGTGAACATTTATGTCCCAAATTTCCTGACTTTGCTATATGTCATTCTGTTTTAGTGACAAAAAAATTCTAAAAATCACGTAGAATTTACATGTTAGTGAAATGAATATGTAGAGTAAAATGAAAAATGGATAATTTTCCAGCAATCTCCAGTTAGTCTGAAAGAGGCAGCTGAATACAGTAAGAGGGGCAATGGCCTGAGTCAGGAAAATTAGTTTTAGTCCTGTGCAAGTAACTAGGTTTCTTCTGTTCTCTCATGAATTATCTATTCCTAGGACTGTAGAAACCATGATCTTTATTTAGTACTATATTTTGTTACCCAAGTTCTCTATATTTTAGTCTCAGTCTGATACTCTAATTAGAGGCTAGAGTGTATGCCAAAACAAGTATTTTATGAGTCATTGATAGAGTTATATAGGGGCTCATGGATATAGTCATTGAAGTAGCATTTGTTGTGTGTCTTGTATTTCTAGAATAATTCAAACGCTTTTGAGGAAGACATGAATTTTCTTGAAACAATGCCTTTTTTGAGTGATATAATTTAAGAAAACATAGTAAACAATGGATATATTTTACAATCAGTGGCTTTTTCTAAATATTTATATGATATAATCAATTACATTTGTTAACATGACTGTCTCTTATAAGGATATGTACTCCTTAGAACAGAAAGTATCTCATCTAAGATGCTCTAAAATTGAGCATGCATTAGCTATCTGTCCTAATGCTCTCCCTCCCTGTGCGCCCTACCCCCTGACAGGCCCAGGTTTGTGTTGTTCCCCTCCCTGTGTCCATGTGTTCCTATAGTTCAACCCCCACTTAAGAGTGAGAACATGTGGTGCTTGTTTTTCTGTTCCTGTGTTAGCTTGCTGAGGATGATGGCTTCCAGCTTCATCCATGTCCCTGAAATGATATGATCTCATTGTTTTTTATGACTGCATAGTATTCCATGGTGTATATGTAGTACATTTTCTTTATCCAGTCTATCATTGATGGGCATTTGGGTTGGTTCCATGTCTTTGCTATTGTAAATAGTGCTGCAATAAACATACATGTGCATGTGTCTTTATAGTAGAATGATTTATATTCCTTTGGGTATATACCCAGTAATGCGATTGTTGGATCAAATGGTATTTCTGGTTCTAGATCCTTGAGGAATCACCACACTGTCTTCCACAATGGTTGAACTAATTTACATTCCCACCAACAGTGTAAAAGCATTCCTATTTCTCCACAGCCTCTCCAGCATCTATTGTTTCTTGACTTTAATAATCACCATTCTGACTGGCATGAGATGGTATCTCATTGTGGTTTTGATTTGCATTTCTCTAATAATCAGTAATGGTGAACTTTTTTCATAACGTTTGTTGGCCACATAAATGTCTTCTTTTGAGAAGTGTTTGTTCATATCCTTTGTCCACTTTTTGATGGGGTTGTTTGCTTGTTTGTTTGTAAATTTGTTCAAGTTCCTTCTAGGTTCTTGATATTAGACCTTTACCAGATTAGTAGATTGCAAAATTTTTCTCCCATTCTGTAGGTTGCATGTTCACTCTGATGATAGTTGCTTTTGCTCTGCAGAAGCTCTTCAGTTTAATTAGATCCCATTTGTCAATTATGGCTTTTGTTGCAATGCTTTTGGAATTTTCATCATGAGATCTTTGCACATGCCTATGTCCTGAATGGTATTGCCTAGGTTTTCTTCTAGAGTTTTTATGGTTTTGGGTTTTACATTTAAGTCTTTAAGCCACCTTGAGTTAATTTTTGTGTAAGGTGTAAGGAAGGGGTCCAGTTTCAATTTTCTCCGTATGGCTGGTCAGTTTTCCCAGCACCATTTATTGAATAGGAGATCCTTTCCCCATTGCTTGTTTTTGTCAGGTTTGTCGAAGATCAGATGGTTGTAGATGTGTATTGTTATTTCTGAAGTCTCTGTTCTGTTCCATTGGTCTATATGTCTGTTTTGGTAACAGTACCATGCTGTTTTTGTTACTGTAGTCTTGTTGTATAGTTTGTACACGTTACTGTAGCCTTGTTGTATAGTTTGAAGTCAGGTAGCGTGATGCCTCCACTTTGTTCTTTTTGCTTAGGATTTTCTTGGCTATATGGGGTCTTCTTTGATTCCATATGAAATTTAAAGTAGTTTTTTCTACTTCTGTGAAGAATGTCAATGGTAGTTTGATGGGAATAGCACTGCATCTATAAATTACCTTGGGAAATATGGCCATTTTCATGATATTGATTCTTCTGATCCATGAGGATAGAATGTTTTTTCCATTTGTTGGTACCCTCTTTTATTTCCTTGAGCAGTGGTTTGTAGTTCTCCTTGAAGAGGTCCTTCACATTACTTGTTAGCTGTATTCCTAGGTGTTTTATTCTCTTTGTAGCAATTGTGAATGGGAGTTCATTCACGATTTGGCTCTGGTATAAAGGAATGCTTGTGATTTTTGCACATTTATTTTGTATCCTGAGACTTTGATGAAGTTGCTTATCAGCCTAAGGAGTTTTTGGGCTGAGATGATGGGGTTTTCTAAATACAGAATTATGTTGTCTGCCAAAAGAGACAATTAGACTTCCTCTGTCCCTATTTGAATACCCTTCATTTCTTTTGCTTGCCTGATTGCCCTGGCCAGAACTTCCAATACTATGTTGAATAGGAGTAGTGTGAGAGGGTATCCTTGTCTTCTGCCAGTTTTCAAAGGGAATGTTTCCAGCTTTTGCCCATTCAATATGATATTGGCAGTGGGTTTGTCATAAATAGCTCTTATCATTTTGAGATATGGTCCATCAATACCTAGTATATTGAAAGTTTTTTACCATGAAGCGATGTTGAATTTTATCAAAGGCCTTTTCACACACACACACACACACACACACACACACACACACATATATATATATATATATATATATTATACTTTATGTTCTAGGGTGCACAACGTGCAGGTTAGTTACATATGTATACATGTGCCATGTTGGTGTGCTGCACCCATTAACTCGTCATTTACATTAGGTATATCTCCTAATGCTATCCCTCCCCACTTCCCCCACCCCACAACAGGCCCCGGTGTGTGATGTTACCCTTCCTGTGTCCAAGTGTTCTCATTGTTCAATTCCCACCTATGATTGAGAACATGTGGTGTTTGGTTTTTTGTGCTTGTAATAGTTTGCTGAGAATGATGGTTTCCAACTTCATCCATGTCCCTACAAAGGACATGAACTCGTCTTTTTTATGGCTGCATAGTATTCCACGGTGTATATGTGCCACATTTTCTTAATCCAGTCTATCACTGATGGACATTTGGGTTGCTTCCAAGTCTTTGCGATTGTGAATAGTGCCGCAATAAACATACATGTGCATGTGTCTTTATAGCACCATGACTTATAATCCTTTGGGCATATACCCCGTAATAGGATGGCGGAGTCAAATGGTATTTCTAGTTCTAGATCCCCGAGGAATCACCACACTGTCTTCCACAATGGTTGAACTAGTTTATAGTCCCACCAACAGTGTAAAAGTGTTCCTATTTCTCCACATCCTCTCCAGCACCTGTTGTTTCCTGACTTTTTAATAATCACCATTCTAACTGGTGTGAGATGGTATCTCATTGTGGTTTTGATTTGCATTTCTCTGATGGCCAGTGATGGTGAGCATTTTTTCATGTGTCTGTTGGCTGCATAAATGTCTTCTTTTGAGAAATGTCTGTTCATGTCCTTCGCCCACTTGTTGATGGGGTTGTTTGTTTTTTTCTTGTAAATTTGTTTGAGTTCTTCGTAGATTCTGGATATTAGCCCTTTGTCAGATGAGTAGATTGCAAAAATTTTCTCCCATTCTGTAGGTTGCCTGTTCACTCTGATGGTAGTTTCTTTTGCTGTGCAGAAGCTCTTTAGTTTAATTAGATCCCATTTGTCAATTTTGGCTTTTGTTACCATTGCTTTTGGTGTTTTAGGCATGAAGTCCTTGCCCATGCCTATGTCCTGAATGGTATTGCCTAGGTTTTCTTCTAGGGTTTTTATGGTTTTAGGTCTAACATGTAAGTCTTTAATCCATCTTGAATTAATTTTTGTATAAGGTGTAAGGAAGGGATCCAGTTTCAGCTTTCTACATATGGCTAGCCAGTTTTCCCAGCACCATTTGTTAAATAGGGAATCCTTTCCCCATTTCTTGTTTTTGTCACGTTTGTCAAAGATCAGATGGTTGTAGATGTGTGGCATTATTTCTGAGGGGTTTGTTCTGTTCCATTAGTCTGTATCTCTGTTTTGGTACCAGTACCATGCTGTTTTGGTTACTGTAGCCTTGTAGTATAGTTTGTAGTATAGTATAGCCTTGTAGTATAGCCTTGTAGTATAGTATAGCCTTGTAACTATAGTATAGCCTTGTAACTATAGTACAGTATAGTTGCTGTAGCCTTGTAGTACAGCCTTGTAGTATAGCCTTTGTAGTATAGCCAGGTAGTGTAATGCCTCCAGCTTTGTTCTTTTGGCTTAGGATTGACTTAGCAATGAGGGCTCTTTTTTGGTTCCATATGAACTTTAAAGTAGTTTTTTCCAATTCCTGTGAAGAAAGTCATTGGTAGCTTGATGGGGATGGCATTGAATCTATAAATTACCTTGGGCAGTATGGCCATTTTCATGATATTGATTCTTCCTATCCATGAGCATGGAATGTTCTTCCATTTGTTTGTGTCCTCTTTTATTTCATTGAGCAGTGGTTTGTAGTTCTCCTTGAAGAGGTCCTTCACATCCCTTGTAAGTTGGATTCCTGGGTATTTTATTCTCTTTGTAGCAATTGTGAATGGGAGTTCACTCATGATTTGGCTCTCTGTCTGTTATTAGTGTATAAGAATGCTTGTGATTTTTGCACATTGATTTTATATCCTGAGGTTTTGGTGAAGATGCTTATTAGCTTAAGGAGATTTTGGGCTGAGACGATGGGGTTTTCTAGATATACAATCATGTCATCTGCAAACAGGGACAATTTGACTTCCTCTTTTCCTAATTGAATACCCTTTATTTCTTTCTCCTGCCTGATTGCCCTGGCCAGAACTTACAACACTATGTTGAATAGGAGTGGTGAGTGTTGAATAGGAGTGGCATCCCTGTCTTGTGCCAGTTTTCAAAGGGAATGCTTCCAGTTTTTGCCCATTCAGTATGATATTGGCTGTGGGTTTGTCATAAATAGCTCTTATTATTTTGAGATACATCCCATCAATACCTAATTTATTGAGAGTTTTCAGCATGAAGGGCTGCTGAATTTTGTCAAAGGCCTTTTCTGCATCTATTGAGATAATCATGTGGCTTTTGTCTTTGGATCTGTTTATATGCTGGATTACGTTTATTGATTTGCATATGTTGAACCAGCCTTGCATCCCAGGGATGAAGCCCACTTGATCATGGTGGATAAGCTTTTTAATGTGCTGCTGGATTTGGTTTGCCAGTATTTTGTTGAGGATTTTTGCATCAATGTTCATCAGGGATATTGGTCTAAAATTCTCTTTTTTTGTTCTATCTCTGCCAGGTTTTGCTATCAGGATGATGCTGGCCTCATAAAATGAGTTAGGGAGGATTCCCTCTTTTTCTATTGATTGGAATAGTTTCAGAAGGAATGGTACCAGCTCCTCCTTGTACCCCTGGTAGAATTCGGCTGTGAATCCGTCTCGTCCTGGACTTTTTTTGGTTGGTAAGCTATTAATTATTGCCTCAATTTTAGAGCCTGTTATTCGTCTATTCAGAGATTCAACTTCTTCCTGGTTTAGTCTTGGGAGGGTGTATGTGTCCAGGAATTTTTCCGTTTCTTCTAGATTTTCTAGTTTATTTGCGTAGAGGTGTTTATTATAGTATTCTCTGATGGTAGTTTGTATTTCTGTGGCATCAGTGGTGATATCCCCTTTATCATTTTTTATTATCCCCTTTATCATTTATATCTATTTGATTCTTCTCTCTTTTCTTCTTTACTAGTCTTGCTAGCAGTCTATCAATTTTGTTGATCTTTTCAAAAAACGAGCTCCTGGATTCATTGATTTTTTAAGGGTTTTTTGTGTCTCTGTCTCCTTCAGTTCTGCTCTGATCTTAGTTATTTCTTGCCTTCTGCTAGCTTTTGAATGTGTTTGCTCTTGCTTCTCTAGTTCTTTTAATTTTGATGTTAGGGTGTCAATTTTAGATCTTTCCTGCTTTCTCTTGTGGGCATTTAGTGCTACAAATTTCCCTCTACACACTGCTTTAAATGTGTCCCAGAGATTCTGGTATGTTGTGTCTTTGTTCTCGTTGGTTTCAAAGACTATCTTTAATTCTGCCTTCATTTCGTTATGTAGCCAGTAGTCATTCAGGAACAGGTTGTTCAGTTTCCATGTAGTTGAGTGGTTCTGAGTGAGTTTCTTAATCCTGAGTTCTAGTTTGATTGCACTGTGGTCTGAGAAACAGTGTGTTATAATTTCTGCTCTTTTGCATTTGCTGAGGAGGGCTTTACTTCCAACTATGTGGTCAATTTTGGAATAAGTGTCATGTGGTGCTGAGAATAATGTATATTCTATTGATTTGGGGTGGAGAGTTCTGTAGAAGTCTATTAGGTCTGCTTGGTGCAGAGCTGAGTTCAATTCCTGGATATCCTTGTTAACTTTCTGTCTCGTTGATCTGTCTAATGTTGACAGTGGGGTGTTAAAGTCTCCCATTATTATTGTGTGGGAGTCTAAGTCTCTTTGTAGGTCTCTAAGGACTTGCTTTATGCATCTGGGTGCTCCTGTATTGGGTGCATATATATTTAGGATAGTTAGCTCTTCTTGTTGAATTGATCCCTTTACCATTATGTAATGGCCTTCTTTGTCTCTTTTGATCTTTGTTGGTTTAAAGTCTGTTTTATCAGAGACTAGGATTGCAACCCCTGCCTTTTTTTGTTTTCCATTTCCTTGGTAGATCTTCCTCCATCCCTTTATTTTGAGCCTATGTGTGTCTCTGCACGTGAGATGGGTTTCCTGAATACAGCACACTGATGGGTCTTGACTCTTTATCCAATTTGCCAGTCTGTGTCTTTTAATTGGAGCATTTAGCCTATTTACATTCAAGGTTAATATTGTTATGTGTGAATTTGATCCTGTCATTATGATGTTAGCTGGTTATTTTGCTCGTTAGTTGATGTGGTTTCTTCCTAGCATCAATGGTCTTTACAATTTGGCATGTCTTTGCAGTGGCTGGTACCAGTTGTTCTTTTCCATGTTTAGTGCTTCCTTCAGGAGCTCTTATAGGGCAGGCTTGGTGGTGACAAAATCTCTCAGCATTTGCTTGTCTGTAAAGGATTTTATTTCTCCTTCACTTATGAAGCTTAGTTTGGCTGGATATGAAATTCTGGGTTGAAAATTCTTTTCTTTAAGAATGTTGAACATTGGCCCCCACCCTCTTCTGGCTTGTAGAGTTTCTGCCGAGAGATCTGCTGTTAGTCTGATGGGCTTCCCTTTGTGGGTAACCCGACCTTTCTCTCTGGCTGCCCTTAACAATTTTTCCTTCATTTCAACTTTGGTGAATCTGACAATTATGTGTCTTGGAGTTGCTCTCATCGAGGAGTATTTTTGTGGCGTTCTCTGTATTTCCTGAATTTGAATGGTGGCCTACCTTGCTAGATTGGGGAAGTTCTCCTGGATAATATCCTGCAGTGTTTTCCAACTTGGTTACATTCTCCCCGTCACTTCAGGTACACCAATCAGACATAGATTTGGTCTTTTCACATAGTCCCATATTTCTTGGAGGCTTTGTTTCTTTTTATTCTTTTTTTCTCTAAACTTCTCTTCTCAGTTCATTTCATTCATTTGATCTTCAATCACTGATACCCTTTCTTCCATTTGATCGAATCGGCTACTGAAGATTCTGCATTTGTCATGTAGTTCTCGTGCCATGGTTTTCAGCTCCATCAGGTCATTTAGGGACTTCTCTACATTGGTTATTCTAGTTAGCCCTTCATCTAATCTTTTTTCAAGGTTTTTAACTTCTTTGCAATGGGTTTGAACTTCCTCCTTTAGCTCAGAGAAGTTTGGTCATCTGAAGACTTCTTCTCTCAACTCATTGAAATCATTCTCCATCCAGCTTTGTTCTGTTGCTGGTGAGGAGCTGCATTCCTTTGGAGGAGGAAAGGCACTCTGATTTTTAGAATTTTCAGCTTTTCTGCTCTGTTTTTTCCCCATCTTTGTGGTTTTATCTACCTTTGGTCTTTGATGATGGTGACGTACAGATGGGGTTTTGGTGTGGATGTCCTTTCTGTTTGTTAGTTTTCCTTCTAACAGTCAGGACTCTCAGCTGCAGGTCTGTTGGAGTTTGCTGGAGGTCCACTCCAGACGCTGTTTGCCTGGGTATCAGCAGCAGAGGCTGCAGAACAGCGAATAATGCTGAACAGCAAATGTTGCTGCCTGATCTTTCCTCTGGAAGTTTCATTTCAGAGGGGTACTCGGCCATGTGAGGTGTCAGTCTGCCCCTACTGGGAGGTGCCTCCCAGTTAGGCTACTCGGTGATCAGGGACCCACTTGAGGAGGCACTCTGTCCGTTCTCAGATCTCAAACTCCGTGCTGGGAGACCCACTACTCTCTTCAAAGCTGTCAAACAGGGACATTTAAGTCTGCAGAGGTTTCTGCTGCCTTTTGTTCGGCTATGCCCTGCCCCCAGAGATGCAGTCTACAGAGGCAGGCAGGCCTCCTTGAGCTGCGGTGGGCTGCACACAGTTCGAGCTTCCTGGCTGCTTTGTTTACCTACTCAAGCCTCAGCAATGGCAGGTGCCCCTCCCCCAGCCTCGCTGCTGCCTTGCAGTTCAATCTCAGACTGCTGTGCTAGCAATGAGTGAGGCTCCGTGGGCATGGGACCCTCCAAGCTAGGTGCAGGATATAATCTTCTGGTGTGCCATTTGCTAACACCATTGGAAAAGTGCAGTATTAGGGTGGGAGTGACCCGATTTTCCAGGTGCTGTCTGTCAGAGCTTTGCTTGGCTAGGAAAGGGAATTCCCTGACCCCTTGCGCTTCCTGGGTGAGGTGATGCCTTGCCCTGCTTCGGCTCACACTCGGTGTGCTGTACCCACTGTCCTGCACTCACTGTCCGACAAGCCCCAGTGAGATGAACCCGGTACCTCAGTTGGAAATGCAGAAATCACCTGTCTTCTGCATCGCTCATGCTGGGAGCTGTAGACTGGAGCTGTTCCTATTTGGCCATCTTGGAATGGCCCTCAAAGGCCTTTTCTACATCTGTTGAGATAATCATGTGGTTTTTGTCTTTGGTTCTGTTTATGTGATGGATTATGTTTATTGATTTGCGTATGCTGAACTAGACTTGCATAACAGGGGTGAAGCCAACTTGATCATGGTAGATAAGTTTTTTGGTTTGCTGCTGGATTTGGTTTCCCAGTATTTTATTGAGGATTTTTGCATTGATGTTAATCAGGGATATTGGCCTGAAATTTTCTTTTTTGTTGTTGTGTCTCTGCCAGGTTTTGGTATCAGGATGATGCTGGCTTCATAAAATGAGGTAGAGAGGAGTCCCTCCTTTTCAATTGTTTGAAATAATTTCAGAAGGAATGGTACCAGCTCCTCTTCGTACTTCTGATCGAATTTGGCTATGAATCCGTGTGGTCCTGGGCTTTTTTTGGTTGGTAGGCTATTAATTACTGCCTTAATTTCAGAACTTGTTATTGGTCTATTCAGCGATTTGACTTCTTCCTGACTTAGTCTTGAGAGGGTGTATGTGTCCAGGGATTCATCCATTTCTTCTAGATTTTCTAGTTTATTTGCATAGAGGAGTTTATAGTATTTTCTGATGGTAGTTTGTATTTCTGTAGGGTCAGTGGTGGTATCCCCTTTATCTTTTTTTAATTGTGTCTATTTGTTCTTTTCTCTTTTCTTCTTTATTAGTCTAGCTAGGGGTCTATCTATTTTATTAAAAATTTTTTTTTCTCAAAAATCCAGCTCCTGGATTCATTCATTGATTTTGTGGAGGATTTTTCTTGTCTCTATCTCCTTCAATTCTGCTCTGATCTTAGTTATTTCTTGTCTTTGGCTAGCTTTTGGATTTGTTTGCTCTTTCTTCTCTAGCTCTTTTAATTATAATGTTAAGATGTCTATTTGAGATCTGTCTAGCTTTCTGATGTGGGAATTTAGTGCCATAAACTTCCCTCAATACTGCTTTAGCTGTGTCCCAGAGATTTTGGTACATTGCCTCTTTGTTTTCATTGGTTTCAAAGACTTGGTTTTTGCCTTAATTTCAATATTTACCCAGGAGTCATTCCAGAGCAGATTGTTCAATTTCCATGTAATTGTGTGGTTTTTAGTTGAGTTTCTTAATTCTGAGTTCTAATTTGTTTGCACTGTATTCTGAGAGACTGTTTGTGATGATTTCAGTTCTTTTGCATTTGCTGAAGAGTGTTTTACTTCGAATTATGTGGTCAATTTTAGAATAAGTGCCATGTGGCACTGAGAAGAATGTATATTCTGTTGATTTGGGGTGGATAGTTCTATAGATGTCTATTAGGTCCACTTGATACAGAGCTGAGTTCAAGTCCTGAATATCCTTGTTAATTTTCTGTCCCATTGATCTGTCTAATATTGACAGTGGGGTGTTAAAGTCTCTCACTATTATTATGTGGGAGTCTAAGTCTCTTTGTAGGTCTCTAAGAACTTATTTTATGAATCTGGGTGTTCCTGTATTGAGTGTGTATATACTTAGGATACTTAGCTTTTTTGTTGAATTGATCCCCTTACCATTATGTAATGCCCTTCTTTGTCTTTTTTGATCTTTGTTCGTTTAAAGTCTGTTTTGTCAAAGACTAGGATTGCAACCCTTGCTTTTTTTTTTTTTCTTTCCATTTGCTCGGTAAATATTCTTCTATCCCTTTATTTTGAGCCTATGTGTGTCTTTGCACACGAGATGGGTCTCCTGAATACAGCACACCGATGGGTCTTGACTCTTTATTCAATCTGTCAGTCTGTGTCTTTTAATTATGGCATTTAGCTCATTTACATTTAAGATTAGTATTGTTATGCATAAATTTGATCCTATCTTCCTGATGCTATCTAGTTATTTTGCACACTAGTTGTTGCATAGTGTCATTGGTCTTTATATTTTGTTGTGTTTTTGCAGTGACTGGTACTGGTTTTTCCTTTCCATATTTAGTGCTTCCCTCAGGAGCTCTTGCAAAGCAGGCTTGTTGGTGACAAAATCCCTCAGGATTTGCTTGTCTGGAAAGGATTTTATTTTGCCTTCACTTATGAAGCTTAGTTTGGCTGGATATGAAATTCTGGGTTGAAAATTCTTTTCTTTTAGAATGTTGAATATTGGCCCCCACTCTCTTCTGGCTCGTAGGGTTTCTGCTGAGAGGTCTGCTGTTAGTCTGAGGGGCTTCCCTTTGTAGGTGACCTGGCCTTTCTCTCTAGCTGCTGTTAACATCTTTTCCTTCATTTCGACCTTGGAGAATCTGCTGATTATGGGTCTTGGGGCTGAAATTCTCATGGAGTATCTTAGTGGTGTTCTCTATATTTCCTGAATCTGAATGTTGGCCTGTCTTGGTAGGTTGGGGAAGTTCTCCTGGATAATATCCTGAAGTGTGCTTTCCAGCTTGTTTCCTTTCTCCGTGTCTCCTTTAGGTACTCCAATCAGTCATAGGTTCAGTCTTTTTATGTAGCCCCATATTTCTTGGAGGCTTTGTTTGTTCCTTTTCATTCTTTTTTCTCTAATCTTGTCTGCATGCCTTATTTCAGCAAGATGGTCTTCAAACTCTGATACCCTTTCTTCCACTTGGTAGACTTGGCTATTGATACTTTTGTATGCTTCATGAAGTTCATGTGCTGTGTTTCTCTGCTCCACTCATGTCATTTATGTTCCTTTCTAAACTGGTTATTCTAGTTAGCAGCTCCTCTAACCTTTTATCAAAGTTCTTAGCTTCTTTGCATTGGGTTAGAACATGCTGTTTTAGCTCAGCAGAGTTTTTTATTACCCATCTTCTGAAGCCTACTTCTGTCAATTCGTCCATCTCATCCTTTGTTCAGTTCTGCATGCTTTCTGGAGAGGCACTGCAATCATTTGGAGGAGAAGAGGCACTCTGGCCTTTTGGGTTTTCAGCATTTTTTTCACTGATTCTTTCTCAGCTTTGTGAGTTTTTCTAGTTTCGATCTTTGAGCCTGCTGACCCTTGGGTGGGGCTTTTGTGGGGACTTTTTGTTGTTACTGATGATTTTTTGCTGTTTTTTAGTTTTTCTTTCAATGGTCAGGTCCCTCTTCTGTAGGGCTGCTGCGGTTTGCTGGGGGTTCACTTCAGGCCCTATTCCTCTTATTCACTCCCGCACCTGGAGATGTCACTGAAGGAGCCTGGAGAACAGCAAAGATGGGTGCCTGCTCCTTCTTCTGGGATCTCCGACCTTGAGGGGCACCAACCTGATAGGCTGTCTGACAACTCCTTCTATTTGCGTCAGTTTCCTTGCTTACAAAATGGAAACAAGATCACCTTTGAGGGCTGCCTATGTTGCTGAATAATCAGTAATTTGACTCTGGATTCCTAGGAATGTCATTTCTATCTTCTTTCTTTCTTCAAGTTAAAGTCACACTGCACAGGGAGTGGAGCCAAAGCTCCTGGTAGCACAAGTGCAGAGCTCCTCACAGCAGACCCCTGCTATCCTGGTTACAGACTCCAGACTTTCAATTTACTTTGTTGAGGAAAGTAGTGATTCCATGTGAGTAATCATTATCTATGGCAGCAAAGGCCTTCTGAAATGTATTTTTTAAATAATTGGATTTGAAAGTTAAAATTACTTCTTGATACATGGGCTGCAGAATAGATATTATGGTAGCAGGCATGAAAAACAAATTAATCTCATTGAACATCTCCACCAGAGCTTTTGGGGGACCAGGTGCATTGTCAAGAGCAGTAATATTTTGAAAGAAATTTTTTTCTCTGAGCAGTAGGTCTCAACAGTGGGCTTAAAATATTCAGTAAATCATGCTGTAAATAGATATGCTGGCATCCAAGCTTTATTGTTACTTTTATAGAGCACAAGCAGAGCAGATTTAGAGTAATTGTTAAGGGCCCTGGGATATTCAAAATGGTCAGTGAGGATTGGCTTCAACTTAAAGTCACCAGCTGCATTACCCCCTAACAAAGCCTATCCTCTGAAGCTTTGAAGCCACATATTGACTTCTTTTCTTTAGCTCTGAAAGTCCTAGATGGCACTTTCTTCCAATAGAAGGCTATTTTGTCTACATTGAAAATCTTGTGTAGTGTAGCCACCTTCGTAAATTATCTTAAGTAGATCTTCTGAATAATTTGCTGCAGCTTTTACAGCAGGACTTGCTGCTTCACCTTGCACTTTTATATTGATACATAATGGATGTACATATTTTGGGGGTACATGTGATAATTTGATATATTAATATAATATGTAAAGATCAAGTCAGGGTAATTGTGATATCCCTCACCTTAAATATTTATCTTTTATTGACATTAGAAACATTCAAATTATTCTTTTCTATTTTGAAATGTATATTAGATTATTGTTAACTATAGTGTATTTGATAGATCTACTGATCTATCAAACACTAGATCTTGTTTCTTTTATCTAACTCTATACTTGTACCCATTAATCGACCTCTCTTCATCACCTTCTCCACCCTACCCTTCCTGGACTCTGATTACCATCAGTCTACTCTCTGTGTTCATAAAATGTACTTTTTTAGCTCCGATGTATGTGCGAGAACATGCTATATTTGTCTTTCTGAACCTTGCACTTTTGTGTTATGGAGGTTATTTTAAGCTCATGAACAAATTTGTTCTAGCTTCAGCCTTTTCTTCTGCAGCTTTCTCACCTCTCTTAGACTTCATAGAATGGAGAAGAATTAGAACCTTTCTCTGGATTAGAATTTGGCTTAAGGGAATATTGTGGCTGGTTTGATGTTTTACCCAGACCACTAAAACTTTCTCCATATAGCCATAAATCTGTTTCACTTTCTTATCATTCATGTGTTCACTAGAGTAACACTTTTAATTTCCTTCAACACCTTTTCCTTTGCATTCACACCTTGGCTAACTGTTTGTCACAAGAAGCCTAGCTTTTGGCCTATCTCAGCTTTTGACATGCTTTCTTCACTAAGCTTATCATTTCTAGCTTTTTATTTAAAATTAGACTTTTCCTTTCACTTGAACAGCTTAGAGGCTATTGTAGGGTTGTTAATTGGCCTGCTTTAAATATTGTTGCCTCCCAGGAGAGGGAGCAAAATGGGGGAACAGCTGGTTTCATAGCCTATGGTTTTCCAACCTCTTATCCAGACCCAGATTGCTGGTTAAAGTGAAAACAATAGTTCTGATTAAATTTTGAGATCTATAAATCTTCTCTAAGGAGTCCCCAAATCCTTCCTTCATAAGGTTCTCTAGGTATTACTTCTGAATTTATGTACATGTATTCATAAGAAAGAGAAAGGAGAAGGAAAAGGAAGAGAAGACAGGGGTTATGGAAGACAGGAAAGGGAAAAAGCAGCAGAATTGAGGACTGCTGAGAAAATAATCTGAGCACAGCCTTTGCACATCTTAGGAAACTGTTTGTATTTTATTTCTATCTTTTGCATAAATGTCCTTAAGATAATTCAGAATGTTCTTTCAGGTGTTACTAATGTTAGCTCACACTACACACAGAGAACAAAAGGTATTAAAATGTCTACCTATTTAAAAAGTCCAAATAATAAGTCTTTTATTTTCCTCTATGTACCCACTTTTATTTACCCAGCAAGTAAAATGTAGTTAATTTCAAAGATAAAATTTCCTACATAAGATTATCTTATCTTCATCCTCCAGTCAATAGCCCTCAGAAGTGCATGCTGGTTGTTTACCTTAAAGTCGAGGAAAAGTCTAAGGCTATGTTAACTGTACCAAGTTGACATTATCCATATGTACACTCGGGGAACTGAATGTTTTCAAACTATTGCTCATTGTTCTCCTTTCAGCAATTTTTGAACATCAAGCAAAAGCTTATGATACTTTATGTTTGGTGATCTTATAGCCATCCTGAGTTATGCATTATAATGGAAAGTTCACAGGACTATATTCTAGTTGGAATCCTGCTATTAACCAGCTATATGTGCCTTTTGGACAAATCACCTCACCTCTCTGTCTTCACTTCACCCTTTGAAACAAGAGGTTTGGGCTAGATGAGTCTAAAGGTACTTTAATTTCTGTCCTAAAATATTTATGATAGGTCAATACCATTAAAATTAAATCTGATTTTTCAAGGTGTAATTGATAAACTGAAAAACATACAGGGAGACCCAAGCCCTATTTTTATGGGTGCTAGAAAGCTTCATTTCAAGGATATGTGTGGGTACTCCTTGCACGTAGCAAAACAACAGCAGGAGAATTGAGATATAATTAAATAAATTATTATCTTCTCTATGAAGCAGCTGTGCTTTCTGCTTCTTGATCTCAGAGGTGGAATCATTATCTAGTAAGCATTAGGAGTCCTTTTTTTTTCTTTTTTTTTTTTTCCTTTTTAACCTTTTTGGTGGCCCTCTGGTGAATATGAGGGAATTGTGAATAGAGAAACAGGGAGGAGAAATAGTTATTTTTCAACTTAATCTTTCAGTAAATGTTTATACCCTTATGATCTACCCCACTCCTCAGAATATTACTTGTATATATGGTGTTTCCTATTTCCTATGCTCTTCAAATGCGAGAGATAATCTAGTCGGATCCTGGTACCCAAGAGCAAGCAATAAACTTGAGACAAGAGTTGAAATTTCCTTTCATTTATAGAACTCACGCCTGTAATCCCAACACTTTGGGAGGCTGAGGTGGGCAGATCACTTGAAGTCAGGAGCTTGATAACAGCCTGGCCAACATCATGAAACCCCATCTCTACTAAAAGCACAAAAATTAGCCAGGCATGGTGGCACGTGCCCGTAATCCCAGCTAATCAGGAGGCTGAGGCAGAAGAATCGTTTGAATCGAGAGGTAGAGGTTACAGTGAGCCAAGATCACACCACTGCACTCCAGCCTGGGCAACAGAGCAAGACTTCGTCTAAAAAAAAATAAAGCACTTGTTCTGGGGTCACTACATAGTCTGGAATGTGAGGGAGTGAAAGCAGACTTCATCTTCATGGACGCTTCAAGTGATCCATACTTTCTACTCACAGAGCCAGGAAGCAATAAACAGATTAACCTTGATGTCTGAGCTAAAGACAAGATGGAGTTGACCAAGGTGATCAAAGCTCGGATTTTCTGTAGCTGGGTGCAAAGGTATTTCTAGGGCCCTGAGGCTAAGTGGCCTATGGTTAATCATAGAATCACTTATTAGAATCAACTCCAACTCTCAATTAAGAGACAAGAACATTTACATCCCAAGAGACTGAGACAAGTGCCCCAGCAGTTGATTAGAGTTTGATTCTTGGCTCAGTATTTTTTGTCTTGAGTTCCATCTTACTATCATTCTCTGACCAAAACCTTGGTGAGTTACTAATTTCATAATGATGAGTTATATTCCACCCCATGTTTCATGATGTATATTAAAATCAAATATCAGTGGATGAGTTTTAAAATGTATTTGGTCATCAATATAAGATACAAGTAGTAAATGATCTTGACAAACAGTTCTATATGACTTTCCCAAATCATTCTCCTAAAGAACCTGAAGAGTAGCAGATGGGGTTTGTGTGCCTGTTTATTGTTTGATGTTCACATTATGTTATCCTCTTTCGTCTTTTAAAAGTCAAATGACTGATGGATTAATAGTAGGTTCTCTTCTCACGTAAACTTTATAAGATATTGCAACTATTCTTATGCCTTCAGGTGCTATTTTTATATTAATGACCTCAAATTTTATTTCTTCTGCTCAAACCTCATCCTTTAGTGCCAGGTCTATAGCTCAAATTGCCTTCTCAATGACTCAAATTGAATGATTCACATGTGTTTCAAACTAAACACACCCCATCTAAACCTATCATCTTACCTTTCGGTCATGACCCCTTCGGGGCTCCAATCTCTGTAAATGGCACATTATCACCAATCTGCCCAAGACAGAAACTGATCGTTATCCTTGTCACGTCCACCTTGTTAATCCTTTATAGCCAATTAATCATTAAGTCCTGTTGATTCTTCCTGCTAAATGTGTTTTAAATCTGCCATCTTTCTTTAATATCACCATCCTTTTCCAGGTCACTATCATATTTCACTAGGAATTGTGGAAGGGCCTTGTAACTTTCCCAGAGGCAGTCTTGCCTCTCTGGGCAATTCTCCACACTACCATTAGAATGAGGTTTGTAGAAAGCAAATATAATTTTGTCAATTCCTTCCCTGCTTAATACAACTCAGTGGCTTCCTTTCTTCTTAGAACAAAATTCCAAATTCTAAACACAACCCATAAGGTCCTATGTGATACAGTCTCTGTCATTCTAAGTAGTCTCGCCTTTGGCACTACCTTGAAAATCAGATCTTCATTCACATTATCCTTCTTCCAGTTTTTGAAATTATCATTTTCATGCTACTATAAGGGCTTCATAGGTGCCATTTCCTCTACCTGAATGATTTGCCTCCATCAAACTAACTTTGTTAAAATCTTGCTTTCAAGATTTGTCAAATATTTCTTACTCATTCTGCTCATCCAGTGTGAATGTCATCTGCTCAAAGTCAGCATTTCCTCAATTGCCAGACTAGTTTATGAATCAGCATTACACTATTTCATAATACTACACACTTCTCTTTAGTGGCAGATAACACTGTGCAAAGAAAGCCATGCTTAAATAAATACAGATTTTTGAAGTTATGGCTGAAGTCAGAATTTTTATTTTGCTTCATATTTTTTGTCAAACTTTTGTCTTGTTGACTAAAATACCATGAATATAGAAATTCAGAGAGGGACTGCAAGGAGGAAAATTAAAGCCAATTGCTTCTGAGAAGGAAGAAAAATAAGAAGAAAGGACTATGTGGCTACTATTAGAGGTAGTAGAAAGTTTATAGAAAAAGCGATATACCTAAAAGAGGAGTTTTAAAACTTTGGGATTGCTATGCAATGTAAACACTCTTCTCAGTCTCCTTACAAATTTTAGTTCATTTTCTGCCTTCATATTACTGCTTTCAGAGTTGGAAGGTTGTTTGTTTCATAAGAAGATTGCAGAAGGCAGGTGCAGTGGCTCATGCCTGTAATCCCGGCGCATTTGGAGGCTGAGGCAGGAGGATACCTTGAGTCCAGGAGTTTGAGACCACCCTGGGCAAGACAGTGAGACCCTGGTCTCTATTAAATACCTAATAAGGCATGCTTCCTATATCAAGTTATATAGCGTTATTGAAAAATAGACATGTGAACCAAACATGTCAAAACAATATGATAGAAGTTATTCAAAAATTAGGGCCAAAGAAAAATGATGGCACAAAGGAGGAATGACATTTGTTTGGGGAGAACGTAGTAGAATCCATAGCAGAAATATTTGAAATTGACTAGAGGTTGCCCACATGGAAAACGGCATTGAAATCATTTTAGGACAAGGATGCAGAAGTACCAAACTGAAGAGGTGAACAAGAACATAGTGCTTTTTAGAATCTATTAGTAGTTCAATGTAGAGTCATAATTCTCAAACTAGAGATCTCCCAGGGACACACCTAGATGTCAGAGACAGGAGTAAGAAATGTGAAACTGAAGGAATAGAGGGAATGAAGGAGGAAAGTAATACCAGGGTGGGTAATAGAGTGGTGGTGAAGAGGTGATCATTTCAAACTTAATGTGTCCAAATCTCACCTCTGGATTTCCCTTTAATAACTTTTCAGTTTCCTAGTCTTTACCAGCTCATTAAATGGCAAAATAATAACTTCATTGGGCCAGGTGAGAAATCTGCTCATGTCTAAAAACTCCAAGTCTAGCTCATTCTAGCTCTTAAATTTATCTCAAATCTGTCTGCACCCAGGCCATCACTCTAGTCCAAGCGACTGTTAGTTCTCTGCTGTTGACCTGAGTCTCTGCCTTTGACCTGTGTTTATGTGAACCCCTCTAACACATCTTTCTCATAGTTGCCAGGGCAATCTCCTAACAGGCTAAATTGTTTATCATCATTCCACTTATCTCACACAACTCTCGTCCTCATTCTCAATTCTTCAGTAATTTGGCCTACTTTCAGCTCCTCAAACAAGCATCTTCCAAGCTGAGAGTTTTAAGATCTGTTCCCTGAAATAATTTCCCCACACTCCCCACCCAGCTAGCACCTTCTCATCCTTCAGTTCTCACATTTAAATACTACTTTCTCAAATCATTCTCTGACTATGAAAGCAGTTTCACCTTTTCCTACCTTCTACACTTTAGTCTTTTTGTTCCTGTATTCACCACATTGCCCTTATGTAAGTATCTGTGTGCCAACTTGTTTAATGTCTGTCATAAGCCACTACACTGTAAACTCTGTAAGGACAGGAAACAGATCTACTTTGGCATGATTTACCTAATATAATGTCTAGAAAACAGTAGATTCCTGATGAATCAATCAATCAGTGATAAAACTGGTGTCACTTGGAGTGCTTATTTACATAAATCCCAGGCCCTAGCCCAGGAAATTTTGATTCAGCAGGCCTGGAGCTGACTGCAGGTATCTACAATTTTAATTAGCACTTTAGGTGATTCAGAGACATGTGACCCACAGAACACTCTAAGAGAAACATTGAGTTTGGAGTTTGATGCCATAATGAAGGCAAAATAATGAGGTTTTGAACTAAGGTGGAGGAACTGAATGGAAAGAAGCAGCCAGTGACACAATAGCACCTTTAATTCACTAAGAGTTAGGAATGTTACTACCTACATATTGTGATGTCATGGATCTCAGAAATACGCTTCAAATTTATTTCCTGTATCTTTTTTCCTGAATTCTTCATTTTTGCTGTCACCTCTTTGGAGGTTTTCTTTTTCTTTTTTTTTTTTTTTAATCTGCAGCAGTAAGGCAAAAACCAGTGTACATATCAGATAAAATGCGTTCATGTGATTAAACCAAAATAGCCATTAATACCCAATAGGCTGCAAACCAAAAGCAGAAATTGCCAAAGGCCCAAAGTATATGAAAACACAGAGAATGTAAAGGGAGATAGCATTTGTTCTATGGGAGAGTGAGAGAGATGCTACAGAAAGGGAGAGGATGGGGCAGATTCTCCAAAGGTCACTGTGAACACTGGAATTAGGGGATAAGAAAAGGTGAACAAGAGAAAGAAACTCAGAAGATCAACTCTGCTTCTTTTATGGTGTCATAAGAACTGCAGCAGAAGGGAAGACATGCAAGAAAAGAAGATTTGGGGGATCAGACTCAGAGATTCAGTCGAGGAATAGACGCTTTCCCTCTTCTCTTTGTGACATTTGTGTAATATTTTGATGTAGAACAGGTAACAAATTGACAAGTTGGCAATAAATTCATCTCTGTAAGAATCGTTTATGGAGCCTTGGATTTAACAACTCAGGTCATTTAGTGGCTGCAGTAGGCTCAGATGATAGAGCTCATTTTCCTTCTTGCCATTGTCCATTCCTCACAAGAAAAACCCTCCTTCTCAGTCATGTCATCTTTGCTTCAAAACATTTCTACTTATTGAAGTTGAACTGTTTACTTGCAGCAAAACTTCAGTTATAAATGTAGTCCCAGATAATTCACCAAAGTCACTGTACTAAATTAGGGCTGATAAAGGGAGGATATCATTTTTAAGGAGCATAGAAAAATAACAAAATGTAAACACTAAATTTAAATATGAATACTGAAAAACTATACACTTTGGGCATTAGAACAATGATTCAGAACTATAGTAATTGCTTTCCAAGTAAAACCATTTATCAAGTTTAAATCAAGTATTTACAAACGATGACCTATGTGTGAAAAATAATACATAAAAATATTAAATTATTTTGCATCATTTGAAAGAAGGCATTGGTATAATGAAGAGAGAAGTGACTTGGTAGTCACCCCTGAATCTATCAGTAACAAGATTTGTGACATTTTCACAACTCTGTCAATCTCCTAGAGCCTTAGTTTCCTAGCCTATAATACTTGAGGACCTGAGGCAAACCAGATGATTCTCTTCTACTCTTAATATTTAATTCTAGGTCTTGCAAAAAGAATGGAAAAAGAAGTTAATGCATTGCTTTCCTTTGAAGTACTCACAGCCTAGTTTGGGAGATCACAGAAAACAAGCCACTCCATTTATAATTGTTCTTTTTTCTTAATCACACTGAATAAACACAAAATCAGTTGCAACTTTTTTTCTATATCTCTCTCTCTCACCTGATTCTGAGTGCCACAAAAGTAGGGACTATGATTTAATTAGTCCCAGCGATGTGAGCCTGGAAGCTGGAGCACCTTAAATGCTTAGTGAATCTCTATACAAATGAGAAAATTAAAAAAAGAAAGAAAGAGAGAAAGAAAGAGAGAAAAGAACAAAAAAGGCTCAAAACCAAAAACCATAAAAGTTATCATTAAATCCAGGAAAAACTGAGTGAGCTCTTCTTGAACTTGGCACTTAATTGTCTCCATGCTCCTGCCTTTTCTGAGTCCTGCCAGTCCCTCTAGAATAATGCACACATGTATGCAAGCACACAAACTACAAACAAGGAAATCTGTCAAGCATTGCATATGCCATGAAGATGAGGGAAAATGTCCGGGGAAGGCTTGGGATCAGCTGAAAGGGGGAAGATGCTGAGGGCATCTAGCCAAGAACTCCCAGGTCATGAGGTGGGCAGGAGAAGGCTTTCCCCAATAGTTCTCTATGTTCCGTGGGAGGGAAAGTACTCATTAGTCTCTACTTCTGCACTGTGCCCATAAAGTGAAAATAAAGGAAGTAATCAACCAGACTTAGATTCTTTCAGTACCATGTACCCTCTCCTATTCATAAACTTGAAGTGTTAAGGTCTCACACTTGCTATGAAACTTCCTGTTGAGATGTCCAAGAGGAAAAAGATCATTAGAACTGGGGCTGCTGGAAAATTCTGATTAGTCATATAAAGTTGAATTAAGATTGAGGTTAAAGAATCTCCTTCACTCCTTTCACACCACCATTCCCAAGTCTAAAAACTTGCTATTTCCAAACTTTCTGCATTTCTTTAGACATTGCCATTGAGTTGTCAGGTACCGAGGGAAACAAGAAGAAGAAAGAGGGGATTCTGAAGAAGTTAAAATATGTTTTCATCTCAGACATACACAACTTTTAAGAATGCAAGTGACTAAAAATGTAAAATTGTGTGATTCCTTTAGAAAAACAGTTTAACAGTTTCTTCAAAAGTTAAACATACACTTACTATATGACCCAGAAATTTCACTCCTACATATTTACTCAAAAAAATGAAAGGGTATATCATTCCAAAGACTTGTACACAAATGTTTATAGCAGCCTTAACTCTAATAGCAAAAAAACTGTAAACAAAGTATCAGAGGTAAATAGATAAATTGTGGTATATTCAGACAGTAAATACTACTCAGCAGTATCAAAAAACAAACTATTGGCACATGCAACAACATAGATGAATCTCACAGCTGCAATGCTGAATGAAAAAGAGTACATACTGTATGATTTACATTGATTATAGGAAAACAATCTATATCAATAGAAATCAGGTTACTGTTTCCTTGGGGAAGGGGATAGAGAATGATTGACTACAATGGAGGAGCTTAAGGGAACTGGGTAGATAGCAATGTTCTAGAACTTTACTGGCTGGTGGTTACATGGATAAGGAGGTCATCAAACTCATTTAAGTGTTTACTTAAATGGTGTGAATTTTCTTGTATATAAGTTAGACCTCAATAAAATTAATTTTAACAAAATTCAAAATTACTCTAAAGCTGAAGTTTTGTGGTATCCTTTATGGGTATCAGAAATGAAAAGAAAATACTAGATCCATATAGTTAATCACCACCTACCAGCTCTCCCCAACTCTAATCACCTATATAAATCCCAGGGAGAAATCAGTGATTAAAATATGTAATGCTGAAGTCAAAATGAGAGAAATTGGAGCATAGAGTATGCTGTATAGGATGTAAATTAGGAATATATTTATTTAAACAAAAATAGTACTGACATAAATTTTAGAAGAATAAAGTGATCACTCGATCAAAGCATCAATCTGAAAGTTGTTTAATCTAGCAGGAGCCAGGTGTGGTGGCTCACACCTGTAATCCCAGCCCTTTGGGAGGCGAAGGGGGGCAGATCACTTGAGGCCCAGAGTTGGAGTCCAGCCTGGCCAATGTGGTGAAACCTCGTCTCTACTAAAAAATACAAAAACTAGCCAGGCGTGGTGGCAGGTGCTGTAATTCCAGCTACTTGGGAGGCCGAGGTGCAAGAATCACTTGAACCTGGGAAGTGGAGGTTGCAGTGAGCCAAGATCATGCCACTACACTCCAGACTGGGTGACAGAGTGAGACTTCATCTCAAAATAATAATAATAATGATAATAATAATCCAGTAGGAAGAAGGTTAATGTTACATATCTTCATGCAGTAAGAAAAACTTAATAGCTAGGACTGAGGTGGGAGGTTGATCTGAGCCCAGGGAGGTCGAGGCTTCAGTGAGCACTGATTACAACACTGCATTCCAGTCTGAGTGACAGAGTGAGATCCTGAAGAAAGGAAAAGAAAGAAAGGGAGGGAAGAAAAGGAAGAAAAGGAAGGAAAGGAAGAAAGAAAGAAGGGAGGGTGGTAGGGAGGGAGGGGGGAGGGAGGGAAAATCTTAATAGTGGTCATAATAGTTACCATTAATTGTATGCTTATTGTATGCCAGGTGCTTTACATACACTGTCTCACTGAATTCTTAATACTTTGCAGTAGGTATTAACAATCTTATTTTAGAGTGAAGAAGTGAATTTATAGTGATTAAATAACTTGCCATGGATCCTACAAATAGTAAATAACAGAACCAAGATTAGATCCCAAAATGACAGTTGGATATATGGTATTGAAGTTTAGGAGAAAGATTGGGTTAGAGATATTGGAAGTCATATCTGTACAAATTAAATGGGCTGGACAAAGAAAGGATGAGAAGAGTGAGAAAACCAACAGGATGATGACAGGATGTTACAGCGTTGGACCTGAATATACATGTAATACATATATGTAGGAAATATGTATTATATGTACATATATTAAATATATAAATAGTAGATATGTATTATACGTACATGTAATACATATACGGTAAATATATATTATATATACATACATGTATTATGTATATAAAATATATTACACACACATGAAGTTATTTAATTATTTATTTTCTCTTTAAAGAAGAGGGCTTTCTGCATCTGGGAATTGTGGAGAGAGTGTTGCTATGGGGCTTACTTGGATTTCTAGTCCCCACCCTTCTATTAACTATGAAACACCTTTAGCAAAGTTTTTTGTTACAGAGCTCCTTTCTTTTTAATGGCTTAGCACCTGTGATTCTTTATTTCCAAATAGCCATAACTTTTTCTTAAATTACTATTTTATCTCTTTATAACATAAACGTATTCTAAAAAGAAAATAGTTGCATAATAACTATTATATATATTATTGTCTTAATCACATATTTTCAATATGAAGAAAATTTAAAAAATACCAATTTTATACTACTCGAATGATTTTCCCAGAATAATTGAGCTGTATATATCAAAGTCTGGTCAGAATAAAGAAGCCACTCTAAGTATTCCAAGCAGAAAGTGTTCTTATATGTGGAATTAGATGCTTACAGAACTGATGGAACTTCTCAAGCAATGAAGATCAAAAAAAAGTCACGGCTAGAAATGAGTGATTTACAGGAACTTTCCTGGGAGTTGCTGCAAGTGAAGCTCAGGAATAAAAGGGGAGCCATGATGGCAGATTTCAGGTGCCTGCAGCACTGTGTGGGTGATTCCCAGGAGTTCACCCAGAAGCCACCATAAGTTTCTGTTATCAGCCTGTGCACCTGCTCACAACTGCCCCAATGAATGAAAACCCTTTCATTAAGACAAAAGCAGAAACACATCATAGGAAAGAGAATTCAAACATGCTCCCCTTCTAAACAGAGGAGAATATAGAAAGGATTATGGGTGATGTCAAACTAATACCATATAAAACAGCACCAGAAATGATCAGTTTTTATATCTCGCTCCGGGTAGCTGTATATGAATCAAATCTAGGATTCCCAACAAACATTAATGTATAAATGAAGTGACGTAGATGTGATAGGACAAGTTGGACTAATTCTATGATATACATAATGAATTCTTTAATTGATTATGAATATTTTAATAAAGTATAACTTAAAGTACTTTCATAATCATATGAATGCATTATTTGTCTTTTATTGCTGTTATTGCAGTAGATTGAATGCAGACACAAATATAAAAATCCAACTGCTTTGTGGAGCCAGACGTGAAAGAGATTTGCAAAACTATAAAGCACTTGTCTCACTAATTTTATATACATATAACCCACATTTTTTAAAAAAGCTTTTGAAAGTCCTAATAATTTTAAGAGTGTAAAGGGTCTTGAAAACAAAAAGTGAGAATTACTGAATTAGAAAAGTGAATCCTCAATTGACTTTCTGATAAACATATTTTCTTGGAGCATATCTTCAAACCACAAGTTAACTGCCATTTTATCTTACACTAAACTTTTTTAAAAATCTCATTGCATTAGAAAAGTTTGCATTGACTGCAGCATTTGCCAAATAGCTTCATGACTCACAACTAAAGATAGGTTACACATTGGAAATTCAAGAGACCAAGAAACCAACTAGTAGGTAATGAAGGACCTCATGAACCTTGAGTCCCTTGTTGGGAAATACTTTCAAGATAAGTGATTTAGGATAAAAAGTCCAAATGAGATAGCCTTCATTTTTCAAGAGAAAAACAGAATATAATCTGAGCTTTGACTCATTCCACACATTATGTTCTAATTTATGTAAAATAGTTTTTGGATTAATCATGACTTTTTCTTGGACTCCTTCACTATTTCTTACTCATCCCTGACATCAGAGGCTGTTTGGCTTTCTGGAGCCAGAGTACAAAAATGCAGATGGAAGGCAGGAAGCAAAATTACATGGCTGGATTTGGGGGATTTTTCACATGAAAATATGAATCTAAAAAAACCACAAACTCTGAAATAAGAATTCTGTAAAGCTCCCTACACGTTAAGCACATTTATATACAATTGTATTTTGTAGTTCTAATATCAATATTCAGTTCTGCCTAAGTTAGTCCTTTACCTCAGTGATCACAATAGTATTTTCTGTTTGTGTTCAATCAGAATTTCTTTCTAAGCTTTATTAGATGTCATCCCATTCTTGTCCCTTGCTACTTTATGCTGGGATGATCATTTATATTTTGTAGCTGTTAGTGCTCTTGGAAGATTTCCTCAGTTTCTGCTAATGTAATTTCCAAAATTTATTCAAATATAGATTATTTTTATTTAATTTTCTCCAGTGCACTCTGAGAAATGCTTGGCACTATTAATCTGTTAACCCAGAGATTGCATCTAGGTTTAAAATCTTGAATCTTACTTTCTATTTTTCTCTAACTCCCTGTTGCCCTTCTCCTTAATAATGGGAAACCCTAATTCTTTCCCTTTGGCAGTAACTTCCTGTTTTGAATAAGAGTAAAAAATTAATTTCCTGATGTAAAATATACATTTTTTTTTGAGACAGAGTCTCGCTCTATCACCCAGGCTGGAGTGCAGTGGCATGATCTTGGCTCACTGCAACCTCCACCTCCTGGGTTCAAGCAATTCTCCTGCCTCAGCCTCCCAAGTAGGTGGGATTACAGGCACACACTACCATGCCCGGCTAATTTTTGTATCTTTAGTAGAGATGGGGTTTCACCATGTTGGCCAGGCTGGCCTCGAACTCCTGACCTCAAGTGTTCTGCCCACCTCGGCCTCCCAAAGTGCTGGAATTACATGCGTGAGCCACTGCGCCTGGCAGAAATACACACTCTATCACACATAATGGGAAAAACCATTAAACATTCCTGCTGGTTACTTTAGATCACACTTTTAACTGCTTCTTTATTTTAATCACAGTATTTAAGCTATATCAAAAATAGTTTACTAAGTAAAAGTTACAGAAAAAAATAAATTGGGGAGGGGAAAAGATAGAGAATGGAAAATATTGGAGACGATTAGAGAGGCAGATCGATCTGGACTGGGAAACACCTCCTCTTTTACTGTTTGCTTCATTCTTTCTTCATTTTAGCTCTCTTCCAATGAAATCTTAAAATTTTCAAGCTGATTTTAAGCAGGATGTATCCAATAAAATCAACTATGGTTGAAGATTAAATAAGGATGACTAATGAGATTGATGTTTTCAAAAGTATGTTTATCACCAAGTGGAGATTTTTAACTCCAGTGTAGTATCCCTTAAAAGGGATGGAACAGTGAAAATGGGGAATAGGAGATAATTAAAGGAAGGTGCCTTGTCCTACTTTTCAATACTGATAAAAGCCCCAAAAAGTCTTAATTGGATCATAGCTGTTTTATAGCCTATGAGGAGACATCTTTCCTTAGCTTTGCAAGTGGCTTTATATACTACTGAGAGAAATCAAAATAATCTCATTCCTTAAAGAGAATGTGGTTTGGCTTAAAGAAAAAATGTTAAAAAGTGCTCAAATTTTGAAGTTGTGTAGCTATGAATACAAGACCTTTTTTTCTTCAAAACTGTGTAGTCGTAGAGTACATGTAAGTTGACTAGGTCGATAAAAATGGCTTGTGGGTATAGCTGCCTCAAAAGACTCAAATACTGGAAGAGCCTTAGTTAAACTAAACTCTGGTTTATTCATACTTACATCTAAAAGGTAGACATACTTGTAAATTAAAAAATGTTGTTTTTAACTTTTAGCCAAATCAAGTAAACCTAGAATTAACTATTGAAAACCTTGAAAGTGTAATGTCTTGGTAGAAATATTGTTTTTCCCAAGATACCAAACCAGGTCATAATATAGTAGTAAAATTTAACTAATAGATGATATTATTTTATTAAATAATCAATTCGACTTTACCTGATTACTAATTTTATTTTCTTAAATGAAATATATTTTAATAAGATGTATTTATTACTAAAAGAAGGTACATTTTACTTGTTTTATTGGTATTTGTTTACATAGTATGCCATGGCTACAGTATGATTAATTTTATAAATCTGTTTGATATGACTGGCCTTCCATATTCTTAAGTACATTGGTCAATGCAAGAGGTAATTGTGGAATTTTATTTATTTATTTTATTATACTTTAAATTGTGAAATTTTATAATGTTCCCAGAGGATGCCTAAGTTTCAGTGGAACTTTATTCTTTTCAGTAAATATAAAAGAGAAAGTAGAGATTCTTTCTATTGTGGACAATAATTTCTGAATTTTCTGTTTTGGTTAATTTGATGTCAAGTAACAAAGGAATTAGTAAACATCTCATTAAATATGTGCTCTGAAATTGTTTATTTAGTATTGTTTCTAATAGAATGTTTCAGATGGAAAATGTGTCATATATTAAGAATTTTGCCAATTAAACTTCTAATTACCCCAGGGCATATAGCCATCCTTGGCTTCCCTAAATATTTATCTGGATGTGTGAAGATTCCTCTAAAGCATAGACATTCCAATCAAGTTTTTTTTTTATATACTTTAAGTTCTAGGGTACATGTGCACAACGTGCAGGTTTGTTACATATGTATACATGTGCCATGTTGGTGTGCTGCACCCATTAACTCGTCATTTACATTAGGTATATCTCCTAATGCTTCCCTCCCCCGTCCCCCCACCCCACAACAGGCCCTGGTGTGTGATCAAGTTGTTAACCAACTAATTTAAGATCCACAGGCTCTAAATGCAACTCCCCTCAAAGCCACAGATTTCACATAGCTTCTGCAGTCTGGAAGTCTGAGCCAGCATTTCTGATACTAAGGAAGCTTCACGGATGTTACATTAGGTCATAAGAAGAAGCAAGTTATATGCTTGCTTGGGGTCTCTTATTTGGGATGGGTCTCTCATTTGCTTTGCCTTGGAAAATTTCTCAGGAGTCATGGGCTGACAAGTGAACTTTTTACATCTACTAGGTTTACAGCATTATGGAATTACCTAATTTTTAGTTTGCTGAGCTAATGTTGTGAAAAATTTCTTAATTGTTGACCTTAATGAAACAAAAGTCCTGAGCCCCACTGTCATTTATTTCTGCTCACAACCAGGAAAACAAACCAAAGAAAAAACTGTAAAGTTTGGCATGACTAAATTGTTCTAATTGAAGCTAAAAAAGATTCATTTTTGATTTTTAATATTCAAATTTATATTATAAAAAGTGTTTCAGGTACTGCAAATTTCATTTTATCACACATGATTTATAAATATTAAGTGAATAAGGACATAGTTTTGTTATTGGTGACTCTTATGGTCTGAACCGTATCATCCCAAAATTTATATGTTGAAGTCCTAACCTTCCATACATTAGAACGTGACTATTTTTGGATAGAGTCTTTAAAGAGGTAATTAGGTTAAATGAGGTCTTTTGGATGAGCTCTAACACCATATCACTGGTGTGCTTATAAGGAGAGGAAATCTGGATGCAGCAGGTACAGAGGGAAGATGATGTAAAGACAGAGGGAGAAAATTGTCATCTACAAGTCGAGGACAGAGGGTCCTCAGAAGACACTAACCCTGGAACGCCTTGATGTTGAACATCCAGCCTCCAAAATTGTAAGAAAATAAATTTATGTTGTTTAGGCCACCCAGTCTGTAGCATTTTGTTATCGCAGCCCTAGCAAACTAATACAGTGACTTTCAATGGATGCTCCAGAGAATCCCAGTGTAAACCAGAAGATGAACTAAGTCCATGAGCAGAAACCCTGCTCCTAGCTCCTCCAGTCTCCAGCTGCATGCCATGAGTCCAATGGGCCTACCTGAGCTGGTGTTCACACTTGTAAACCAATGACATTTAATGGCTACCTCACAGATAGGCTTTGAATATTGCATATAACAACGCAAGTGAAAGCACATATAATGTACAAAATGTTGTCTAAAACTAATGAAACCTTAATATTCTTGAATCTGTTTAACCTACTCTAGTCATCATATGACACAGCCAATGACAATTTTGTCTTCATGCTTCTGTCATATTACTTGGGTATTGCCTAGGGCAGCAGATTCTGTCTATAAATTCATAGTCAGAGCATCCAGGGTTTTCTCTCCCCAAAGTAGTTTTTTACAATTCTCTCTCTTGGCCAAAGCCTCCTCAGCTTTCTTTCTTGGCTCTCTGCTTGCCTCCTTTGTGTCAGGGACTCCTTGAAAACTTATCTTACCCAAGTAATGTTGGGGGTAAGGTGGGAGGCAGACCTAGGCAGGATTAGGGCTAAACCTTGTTCACTCTAAGGGTGTGGTCAACACCCTTATCACTAGACCCAAGGGATCAACTTAGGATAAATTTGCCAGAGTAGGAGACTAGCCAGCCACCCAGACTGGTCTTTGTCTAGAAATTCTAAAACACACCTATCATAATCCCTTCAGAAAAGTCAACAAAGCAAATCCGGTTTGATTTTTAACAGTCGATTTTACTGTTGCCTTAAAAGATTAGGAATAAAAATATTGTCCAACCTCTAATCTCAGTCTGTTCATAGAAGGGCACCAAATAACTTGCCAGGTGTAGTTGAGCTACTCTGATGTGGACCTTTTCCATTTTGCTAATATGCAAGTGGTCTTTCTTCTAGAAGCTATACATGTTAAGGCCAGCTCACTGTCACCAATAGTAACATAAATAATTAAGATACACATTCTCTTCTAGTAAAATGTGGTTTTACAAAGACCTAATAGTACTTTTAAGTGGGATTAATTGTGAAATCTCTTTTCTTTCTTTGTATTCATTTAGCCTACTCCTCTAGAATCCCATGTAACCAACAAAGAAATCCCAGCTGTACTGTGAATGGGAAAAAAATCTTACTGTCTGACCCTAAAGATGTCAGCAACTTACTCTATCAAATCTCTAACTTCATTCACCTTCTGTTTCTGCCTTCCTATAATCAATTGGATTTATTCTAAAATCATGGTGCACTTCAGGATATTTACTTTTAAATCATAGAAACAATAAAGAAGGTCTTACTAGATGCAAGGCTCAGGATTTTTTTCTATTATTGTATTGCCATCACTATTTTTTAAGAAAAATATCAGACTTTGTTGATAATGGGATTTTTCTCTTGATGTTATTATATATATATATATATATATGCCTTTTATATGTTTTCAAAATATTCCTTGTTTCACTGTAATATTTTAGTACTCTAAAATAGTTACAGAAATAATCATTATCACATTTATGACCTGTCCTTTAATGCTGACATTGACTTCATAAGGCATATAAAATAACCTTTCGCATGATATTTTTTACCTACAGAAAATCCTTCTATCATCACGAATATTCTTCTTTCAGTTTTACATTGTTACTCGATCTCACTCATGCACTTATTGAACATGTTGTAATTGTTATTTGAAAGATTGTTACAGTATTTATAATTCTTAACCTTTTAATTGGTGAAGGATAAATTTAAGAGTCTAATGGAAGCCATGAAACTACTCACCTTAGAAATTCACACAAATTTACATGAACTTTGGGTTACAAATGTCTGCTCTTAATAATGTCACTGTCAACTATTCAGAGTGACAAAGGCCACCCTAGGTTTCTAAGAAGAGTTGTGATGACAATGTAATCAGTTGCCCACAAATGAGTTAAAAAAAAAAGACTTTGGAAATTAATGAAGACAATCAAATAAACTCATTTGCTAAGCACCTAGAGTTGTCTCATGTATTTGTGAAATGATGATGGGAATAATCTAATTTAATATCTAAAATACTAATGTGCTCTGTAGTGATATATACATGTATTCTAATGAAGTTCATTTTCTTGAGCTAATAGGGCATGCTCTGAAGTCATTAAGAAGCAATATAAAACTATAGAGATTTAAGGACCAAGATGAGTTTTATAGTTACCAAGGTGCAATGGGAGGTCATAGGAAACAGAGGGATCAACTGGCGTTGGGAATTTTAGGAATACTCTTATTTCCTGGAATGGAGGGGAGTCTCTAAAAATGCCTATTTGTTGAATGAAGTACATTCTTTGCTATTTAAACTCTATTCACAGGACAGTGATAGCCATTTCTAATTTTCAAGCCAAAGGTGATACAATTGGACTTGAACTGTAAATTGAGAAACAGTTTGCTAATGCACTGAATAATGGAAAATTAGTTTCTAGAATGCCAGTGAAGAGTGACAGCAAAAATCATAGCTGAAGTGTAATAAAAGCCTAGAACAAAAAAAAAAGGGGAATGAGGAATGAAAGTAATTGAAAAAATAAAAGCATCAAAGATCAGCAGTAGACTTGGGGACTGATTGAATGTAAAGACAAAGGAGGTGAGCTTATAAAAATGATTCAAGGCCAGGCAGGCTGGCTCATGCCTGTAATCCCAGCACTTTGGGAGCTGAGGCAGGAGGATTTCTTGAGTCCAGGAGTTTAAGACCAGCCTGGACAACACGGTGAAATCCCATCTCTAAAAAATACAAAAATTAGCCAGGGGGCACACAGCTGTCATCCCAGCTACTCAGGAGACTGAAGTGGGAGGATCACTTGAGCCCACAAGATTGAGTCTGCAATGAGCCATGATTGCACTTTTGCACTCCAGCCTGAGTCACAGAGTGAGACTCTAGAAAGGGAAACATAATCTACATTATAAATGGGTTGATTCCTAAGAGATGGTAGCTCAGCTAGAACAGATATTCTCAACATGCATGGACTTCATGGAATCTGCACAAGCCCTCAGAAATCATAGGCAACATTTTGTTTGCATGAGTGTATATGCATTGCTGGGGAGGCCTAAATACAAAAGGTAAAACAATAAAGTTTATAAAGAAAAACATAACTTCATGACCTTGATGTAGACAAAGATTTTTACATATGGCATTAAAAGTACCATAAAAGAACTGAGGAATTGGATTTTATTAAAATTAATGTTCTTTCCATCAAAATATATCATTAAAAGACTGTAAAAACAAGACACTGAGAAACTAGAAGAAAACATTCACAAGATATGCATCTAACAAATGATCGATATCCAAATTATATACAGAATTTCTGCAAATCAACAATTAAAAGAAAAACAAGTTGGTCGGTTTTGGTGGCTCATGTCTGTAATTCCAGCATTTGGGAGGCTGAGGCGGGTGGATCATTTGAGGCTGGGAATTTGAGACCAGCTTGGCCAACATGGTGAAACCCCATTGCTACTAAGAATACAAAAATTAGCCAGGCATGGTGGTGCATGCCTGTAATCGCAGCTACTTAGGAGGCTGAAGCAGGAGAATCACTTGAACCCAAAGAGCAAGAGGTTGAAGTGAGCTAAGGTTGTGCCACTGCACTTCAGCCTGGACAACAGAGTAAGTGAGACTCTGTCTGAAAAAAAAAAAAAAAAAAAAAAAAAAGAAGAATAAAAATAAAGAAAGAAAAAGAAAAATAAGTCAACACAATTGGCCAAAAGTTTTGAACAGGGACTTCGCTAAGAGGATAACTAAATGCTCAGTAAGTATGTTAAATGTTTCTCATTGTTTCTCACTGGTCAGGAGTTCAAGACCAGCCTGACCAACATGGTGAAACCTTGTGTCTACTAAAAATACAAAAAAATAGCTGGGTGTAGTGGCGGGCGCCTATAATCCCAACTACTTGGGAGGCCGAGGCAGGAGAATCACTGGAACCCAGGAGGCGGAGGTTGCAGTGAGCCAAGATCGCACCATTGCACTCCAGCCTGGGTGACAAGAGCAAAACTCTGTCTCAAAAAAAAAAAGAAGTCTCCCATTATTTATCAAGAAAGGCAAAGTAAAACTACAATGAAATACCACTTCACATCCACCAGAATTGCTACAAATTAAAAGAATGATAATATTAAGTGTTGGTGAGTCTATGGAATATTGGAACTCCCATTTATTGCTGGAGGGGGTGTAAGTTTGCATAACCACTCTGGAAAACTGTGTGGCAAGATCTTCTAAAGGCAGATGTAGACCTATCCTAAGGAACCAGCAATTCCATTCCTAGAAAAATACCCAGTAGAAAAGTAAACGTATGTCCATCAGAAACCATGTATAGAATGGTTATAACAGCTTTACCGATAAGTGCCAATAAGCTGGAAGCAACCCAAATATCTATAAATGGAAGACTAGATGAATTGTATTAACTAAGTTTATGCAATTGAAAATTATGGAGCTACAAAAAAGAATGAACTGTTGATATATGGAATAACATGGATGAAGTTCAGAGAAATAAAGCTGAGCAAAAGTAGCCAGACACAAGAGTACATATTGTGTAATTCTTTTTATAAGGAGTTTAATACGGGCAAAACTAATCCATGACTATATAATCAGAAAATTGCTTTCTTCCTGGAGGTGAGGGAGATATGAATCTGGAAGAGAAACAAAAGATCCTTTTAGGGTGTTGGAAAGTTTCATATCTGGATCTGAGTGGCAGTTACTCCAGTGTCTACAGGTACACAAAGTAATCAAAATGTGCACTTAAGATGTATACAGTACACTTTATTATGTATATATTATGCTTCAAAGAAAAATAAATTTTAAAACACTACATCTGTCCTCAGCATACTTGACCTCTTAGTAACACTGAAACCAGTTAGCCACACTATTTTAAACCCTTTCCTCTCTTGAGAGTACCAAGTTTGTCTATTTTCAGTCTTTTGGGCTGCTCCTTGTCAGTTCTCTTTAGTGGGAATCTTAGTTCTCTAAGTATTGTAGTGTCTCAGAGCTCAATCTAGGGCCACTTTCTCTTCTCTTTCTAAAATCTCTCCCTGGGTCAGTGGTTCTCAGCACTCAAGAATGGGTCAGAATTAATCTAACGGCTTCTTTTTTAATATTCATGTCCAACTAACACCCTAGGGCTTCTTATTCAATTGATCAGGGCTGGGATTTGGCATCTGTATTTAAAAGTTCCCCAGGGGAATCTAGTACGTAGTCAAAATTGAGAGCTACTTCCCTAAGTGATTTTATCCCATTGCAAGGCTTAGATACCATTTGTGTACTAATTACAGTCACATGTGTTTCCAATACAAATGTTTCCTTAAACACAATAGTATTATGAAAAATATCTATTTCATATTTTCATCTATGAGTCAAAATATCCAAAATGGATTTCCTGACTTTCTACCTCCCACTCCCATCTGCTCCTTCCTGAGGCTTCCCTGTGTAATTAACCATCCAATCTACCATCCACCCAGCTGGTTAAAGCAGAAACCTACGAATCATTCTTATTTCTCCTTTTTTTTCTCCCACCCTGACCTCTCCTGAATCCAACGTTAGTAAATTCTATCAGACTAACACCCAGAAGATACCTTGAATCAGCTCTTATTACCTTTTCTGCTACGATTCTGATCAAAGCTGTATCATCTTTCAGCTGAAACACTGAAAAAGCTCCTAACTGCCATTCCTGTTTCCATTCTTTCCTTTCTTTCTTCATCTTTATACAGTCTCCAGGTTGATTTTTAAAAAAACATACAGCATATCACTACCCTGCTTCAAACCCTTCAGTGCATTCTATTCCTCTTAAAATGAATTCAAAGCTCCTTATCTTGAGCCTTATGATCTGCACCTGGCTTATTTTCCAACATTACCTTATACCATTCTCACCCTCACTCCCTGTGCCTCAGCCATATCCTGGCCTCTTTTCTGTTCACTGAAGATGACAAGTCATTTCCCACTTCATGCTCTTTGAACTTGGCCTGGAATGCATTTCACTGGCTCTTCACAAGGCTGGTTCCTTCCTGTCATTTAGGTCCCAGTTGCTTCCTGAGAGAAGCCTTCCATGGCTACTTCATCCTAAGTGATCCACCTCTGCTTATTCTCTTTCATATAACTCTGTTTCTTCACAGTGCTTTTCAAGGTCTGTTTAAGATTTTTGTCCCTTTCTTCATTGTTTGTCTCTCTGTACTGTAATATGTAAGCTCCTACAGGACAGGAATCTCTTTTGCCTTTTTAATAAGTATTTCTACCTTCTGAAACAGTGTTGAACACGCAATAGGCACTTGATAAATATTTGTTCTCAATGAATGAATGAGGTCTTGAGAAATTAGTAAATTTATTCATAATAAAAATAAAAAGTACCATTTACTGAGCATCTATACTATGCCTTTTGCTAAGTATATTAAGAATTATCTCACTTAATTAATTATCTCATTTAATTTTTAACAACAACAATCTGAGAGGTAGGCAATGTTATCCCAATCTTATAAAAGAAGGAAGTGAGAGACTGAAGTTGACATAAATTCATACAGGAAGCAAGTGGTAGTGCAAAAATTTGAGCTTAATCAGTTTAACCCCAGAGCTCATGCTTTTGTGCTTATGCTATTCTTCTCCCTGTCAGAAAAAAAAAGGTAAATAAATTTTCACAGTATATAAAGGGCAGCATCTGCTTATGAACAGGCTGGGGCACTCTTGTGGATCTTGCTATGTTTCTTCAGTGAGGCCAACATGAAACACTATTGATAATACTGTCTTATATTTATGTCCCGAGTTCTTTAAATTTTCTAAAGTATGCGCTATTTTATTAACTTCTTTGGTCTCTACTCATGTGCTAATTTATTATATATAACATATAATATATAAATATATATAATATGTATAATATATATATATATTCTATCCACCCTTTCATTCGTTATACACAGTCTAGATAGGAAACAGACAGCTTATATTTAAAGCACAAAAACTGTGAGAAGTGTGGTATGCATGAAGACCTAGGACAACCAGGGGAAGAATGAACTAACTCTGTTGGACAATTCAGAGAAGTCCTCATCATGGAGATGACATTTGAAGTGAAACTTAAATCTTGAATCATGAGTAAAACGTACCAAGCAAAAAACAGACAATTTGATCTTTGACGAACCTGACACAAGCAATGGGGAAAGGATTCTCTATTTAATTAATGGTGTTGGGAAAACTGGCTAGCCATAGGCAGAAAACTGAAACCAGACCCCTTCCTTATACCTTATACAAAAATTAACTCAAGATGGATTAAAGACTTAAAATAAGACCTAAAACCATAAAAACCCTAGAAGAAAACCTAGGCAATACCATTCAGGACATAGGCATGGGCAAAGTCTTCATGTTTAAAACACCAAAAGCAACGGCAGCAAAAGCCAAAATTGACAAATGGGATCTAATTAAACTAAAGAGCTTCTATGCAGCAAACGAAGCTATCATCAGAGTGAATAGGCAACCTAAAGAATGGGAGAAATTTTTACAATCTATCCATTTGACGAAGGGCTAATATCCAGAATCTACAAGGAACTTAAACAAATTTACAAGAAAAAAACAACCCCATCAAAAAGTGGTTGAAGGATATGAACAGACATTTCTCAAAAGAAGACAGTTATGCCACCAACAAACATATGAAAAAAAAGCTCATCATCACTGGTCATTAGAGAAATGCAAATCAAAACCACAATGAGATACCATCTCACTCCAGTTAGAATGGCGATCATTAAAAAGTCAGGAAATAACAGATGCTGGAGAGGATGTGGAGAAATAGGAACGCTTTTTCACTGTTGGTGGGAGTGTAAATTAGTTCAACCATTGTGGAAGACAGTGTGGCAATTCCTCAAGGATCTAGAACCAGAAATACCATTTGACCCAGCAATCCCATTACTGGGTATATACCCCAAGGATTGTAAATCATTCCACTGTAGGGAACACATGCACACATATGTTTATTGCAGCACTATTCACAATAGCAAAGACTTGGAACCAACCCAAATGCCCATCAATAATAGACTGGATAAAGAAAATGTGGCACATATACACCATGGAATACTATGCAGCCATGAAAAAGGATGAGTTCATGTCCTTCACAGGGACATGGATAAAGCTGGAAAGCATCATTCTCAGCAAACTAACACAGGAAGAGAAAACCAAACACCGCATGTTCTCATTCATAAGTGGGAGTTGAACAATGAGAACACATGGACACAGGGAAGGGAACGTCACACACCAGGGCCTGCCAGGGGCTAGGGGACAATGGGAGGGATAGCACTAGGAGAAATACCTAATGTAGATGATGGGTGGATTGGTGCAGCAAACCACCATGGCGCATGTATACTATGCAGCAAACCTGCACATTCCGCACATGTATCCCACGAGCAACAGATGCTCATGATGGTTGTAAAGGATCAACTGTATTTTAAAACATAATTTAATATATACTTTTAATAAACACATTCATATTGTTCAAACTATAACCCATAGATTTTTTTGTTTCCTTTTTTTTAACTTTTATTTTAAGTTTAGGGGTACAAGTGCAGGTTTGTTACATAGGTAAACCTGTGTCCTGGAGATTTGTTGTACAGATTGTTTCATCGTCCAGGTATTAAGCCTAGATTTCTTAGAAGGAAAAAGACACCAAAAATATGTTCTTAAAGGTCAAGGGCTGGGTTTTGTATGATAGCTAGACCATTATCTGTAGGATTTGAGACCCTGGTCAAAGACCATAATAAAATATTAATCTTTGCTGAACACATTCACTTATCTAACCATCTAGTCAAAATAGCTTATGCGCTGCATTTTTAAAGAATAACAGGTGGCCTTTTGTCATTTTATGCCTCTCTATCTGAGCCAAACTATATAATCATTTGCATTATACCTTTGGCTCAAAAACGTTTATATGTTTAGGCTATCAAGGATTATTTTTAATGGTTCCTAAATCATTTTAATCCTCAGAACTACTTTGGCCAATATTTGTCTTTGTTAAAAGTTAAAGGTGAGCACTCAGTATTATGTGAAAATGAATGCAATATTTAATTTTTAGTTTTGTCCTGTTAACATTAGATGATGCCCAGATAGTAAGTCTTTTTGGTAATGTAATCAGTGGATGAGGAATCTGACCATTGTTGAAGGTTTTGTATATAAGAAGTCAATACAACATTGACCAAAATACTAACCAGCCAGAGAAACAGAATCCTAACTATTTCTGAGGAAACTGTAAGTAGAACTTCTGCTGAACAAAATTGTTATTTGAATTATTAGATTTTTTCTTTATCCCAAGTGATGCATTTTTAAAGGCTTAGATATTTGTTGCATATTCACCTGCATAAATGTATCTGTTTAAATTATGGCTTATTCCTCTAGGATTTGATTTATTTTATTCTTTTTTTTGTATGGACATGAGACTCTTAATTATGGAATGACAAATTTGTTTATTATTGCAATTAGTGCCTAATGTGAAAGTCTCATAATTTCTTAACTATTGAATTACAAATTTGTTTATTAAGTTCCTAATGTGAAAGTCTAGTCTCTGTGACTCTTCTTTTTGAGAAGGAATAGATCAGTAATCTAGTGACATATAATTGGCTGTATTAATATGCTATGTTTAATATTTAATATCATCCAAATCAACTGCTGTTGAATTGATCATTATTAATACGATTGTGAAACCTTATAGGCTATTAAAACATTTATTTAAATTATAAACTTTTCAAAACAGAAGTCTAGACCAAATTATATAAATCTCCCTGGGGATGTCCCTATAAAAGCTGGCCCAGGGTCATACTGAAGGAGTATTACAGTGGGGAAGAACATAGCCTTTGGAAATAGACTAGTTTAAAATATGGGCTCCACTACTTTCTATATATTTGGTTGGGCGAGTCCTCTTTTAGCCTTACCTTGCTTATTTGTAAAATGGATAATATAATGCTACCTACTTCATAGAGTTGCTATGAGAATTAAATGAGATAATAGTCATAATAACTATATTTAACTAACGTTTATGAGATGCCCAGCATGTTAAGAACTTTACTTTTGTTATCATAATGAATTCCCCTAACATAGAGAAATGTACTATTACAGGCCCTGTTTTATAGATGAGAACACTGTCTTAGCAAGATAGTTCATTTCACGTATACCATGTTGAACACACAGTACAGCACACAGTGAGTCCTCTGTATGTGTTAATTACTGGTATTTTCCTAGGACTTGGCAACAAGCATTTTGAGAAATTTATTCTGCCCTTGAACATCTTTGAGCCCATTGAGATGTTCTCCAACGCAAACAGTAGGTTAAGTGTCCTCACTTTACAATGGCAAATCACTTAATGGAGGTCATGTGGGTTCCTGAAATGTTTGATGAAAGCCTCTGGTTTGAATGTTACAACACTACTGGTTAGTCTTTATATATTAGTTTATCTCTTCCTAAAATATCACGGTAAAAACAAGGCTTAGTTAAAAACTGATTTTTTTTTTTTTTTTTTTTTTTTGAGACGGAGTCTCACACTGTCTCCTGGGCTGGAGTGCAATGGTGCGATCTCCGCTCACTGCAACCTCCGCCTCCTCGGTTCAAGGACTCTTGCGTCTCAGCCTCCCAAGTAGCTGAAATTACAGGCGCGCACACCCGGCTAATTTTTTTGTATTTTTAGTAGAGACGTGGTTTCACCGTGTTAGCCAGGATGGCCTCGATCTCCTGACCTCCTGATCCGCCCGCCTCGGCCTCCCAAAGTGCTGGGTTTGCAGGCATGAGCTACCGCGCTCTGCCAAAAACTGATTTTTAAGAGATACCCTTAAATCTAATCCTATACTAAACCAGTGGGCAAACTATTAGACCAGAGGGTCAGATTTAGGCCTTGAGAGTTCTGGTCTGGTTTTACTGTAAATCAGGAACTATGCTATGTGCTCTGCATGAATTACTATAAACGGGTTTTCTTGAAATATTATCAGCAACTGGGAAGTCACCACTTTTCAAAGAATTCCACTTGAATCCAAAGATCCAAATATTACACATTCTTCACTGTATTCAAGTCAAATATTTCTACATATGATCTCGAAGTATTGCTCCTAACATACAATTTCTCAATAAATATTTATTGAATAATTTATTTCTGACACACTAAAAATGAAGTGATTTAAAACTGTCCTCTACATGGCTTCCCTTCAAATATTTGAGGACAATATCACTTCTCTATTGAAGCTTTTTCACCAGCTTAATATCTGAAGATTCTCAAACTTATAATCAGTGACTACAACATAGAAGGAAGTTCAGGTGTTGTGGGCCTAATACCAAATATTGTCTATAAGGCTAGGTGTGGTGGCTTATGTCTATAATCCCAGTGCTTTGGGAAGCCCAGGCGGGAAGATACCTTGAGGCCAGGAGTTCGAGACCAGTCTGAGTAATGTAGAAACACCCTATCTCTAAAAAAAAGAAAAAAAATTAGCCAGATGAACACCTGTAGTCCCAGCTACCCTGGAAGCAGAGGTGGGAAAATCACATAATAACCTCAAATCAGTAAATGTTTATGGAATAACTATTATAAACAACATTTAAAATCACCATGATTACTTTGAACACACGTTATACAGAGATTGGATATAGAGAAGTCAAAGGCCCACACATCCCTCACCCAAATCTGGGCTCTCAAAATAAGCAGGCAAAAGTCTTAAACACAAAGCATAATAAGGACACATTGTTATGCCAATTAGAGGCTTTTTTTTTTTGCCAATTAAGATTAATTCAGTATGGCTTGAAACCAAGTGGAAAATGTTCTTAAACAAAAGGAATCAAACAGTGAAAACAAGTTAAGCATTAAAAGCTTAAACATGTTAAGCATTAAAACATGTTAAGCATTAAGTTACCTGTGCTGACATCCATATGTCTCATTTTATTGCCCAATGGAATATAATCAAACCCAAGCATTCCTCTACTTAGCACAAAGGTAAAATTGGCATAAAATATAAGCATTATGAAAGTATAATGGATTAACCATGGCACGGGTTATTCTTTTCTTTCAGGCAGGTCCAAAATGTGGCTGCTTTTAACAATGGCAAGTTTGATATCTGTACTGGGGACTACACATGGTTTGTTTGGAAAATTACATCCTGGAAGCCCTGAAGTGACTATGAACATTGTAAGTTACTCTGGGGAAAAACTCTATAAAACTAAAAGATGCTATTATTTAAAATCATAATGAGTTAAAGATTTTATATGACCAATTAAAAATAAACAGTAATATTCATTTATTAGATATATCTAAAAATCAACTAAAATTTAAACTTTTGGGTTTGCTTCCTCAGAGTCAGATGATTACTTATTGGGGATACCCAAATGAAGAATATGAAGTTGTGACTGAAGATGGTTATATTCTTGAAGTCAATAGAATTCCTTATGGGAAGAAAAATTCAGGGAATACAGGTATATATAAGCTTCTTTTCTTCCTTCCTTTCTCTCTTTTTTCCTTTCCTTCTTTCTTCTTCCTTCCCTCTCTCCTTTCTTCCTCCAACTTTTCCTTCTTTTGTTCTTCCCTTTTTCCTCCTTTTATTTCTTGCTAAAAATGTAATGTCTTGCTCATTCTGGAAATGCAAAAATAAGCTATATTTTCAGTCTTCAAGGAGATCATCATCAAGCCAATGAAATAGATAAGTAAATGAGTGATTATAATAATATGTGATAAGCTCAAGCTACAACTGTACATAGGATATTAAACTGAAGGTTTTAATAAAATTACCTAACTCAGCTAAGGGAGTCAAGGAAAGCTCACTCTCAGAAACAGTAACTGGATGAAGATCTAAGGATCAGGAAGAGTTAGCCAGGGTGTGTGTTGCAGAGGGGAAGATGGGGAACCAATTCAAGGCTCATTTCCTAAACACATACAGGCTAATTTTCACTAGTACTATTAAAAATTTACCTTTTACTCATTGTAGAAATGTTATGAAGTACAAAAAGAAAAAAAAAAGATTACTCGTAATTTTACCACTCACAGTTTACCAAATTTAACATTGTGCTGAATTACCTGAGAATATAATTTTTTCAATAGTTTTATTGAGATGTAACTGGCATATAATAAGCTGCTCATATTTAAGGTGTGCAGTTTCATAAGTTTTGGCATCTGAGAAATCAACTCCCTGAGAAATCATCACCACAATTACGATAAGATATTCAAAAATAATCAACTCAATCAGGCAAATGTATTTAGTGCTAGTCATATGGAAGACTGTTTCTAGCCTCACATTTATCCTAGAATAAGGAATACATTTATAAAGTTTATAAACATTTTCTTCCTTAGGCCAGAGACCTGTTGTGTTTTTGCAGCATGGTTTGCTTGCATCAGCCACAAACTGGATTTCCAACCTGCCGAACAACAGCCTTGCCTTCATTCTGGCAGATGCTGGTTATGATGTGTGGCTGGGCAACAGCAGAGGAAACACCTGGGCCAGAAGAAACTTGTACTATTCACCAGATTCAGTTGAATTCTGGGCTTTCAGGTAAACAAAAGGGACAATTAAAAATAAACACTGGGCTTTAAAAGCATAGGCATTTGCCCCTTCTAATCCAGTCCCATTTTAACAAATTACACTCCAAGTAGGAGGATAAACAAGTCATTTTCATTCTAATCCATTCTTGGATTCTTCCATGTACCTCATTCCTAGGGTAGCTTTTCCTTCAAACTTTTGTGATCTCAGGAGTCTCCATTAGGGATTTCCAGAAAGTGATTTTCCAAATGGAATGAACAATATGGCTGAAGCAAGGAAACTCACAGCCCCTGGAAAATTCCAAAGGAATGTCCATATGGATTCAAGAGAGAAGTAAAAACCCATTTAGGGGTAGGAGAACAGCAATCTGAATCATCATCAATAGGAGGGGTGGGGAGAGTGAAATTCAGATATCATGGAGAGATTATCATGGGCTTCTCTCACTGGTCTTCTTGTGCCTTATTCCTGGAAATTACTGATGGAGGTAGAGAACAGAACAAAACCTGGCTGCTGATGCTAAGGCATGAAAGTGTTTCAAGAGTTCTAGGAGCTGAAAGGAAACCTGTGTGTCCCAGGTGTAGCGGGAAAAGGGAAAATGACATGAGTGAAGACTGAGGTGCAGATGGGGCAGTAGTGGTGATAGTGAGAGCCTTGGGCCTCATTCTGAGTGCACTGAGAAGTTTTAAAAAGAGGAGTGGCATAATACAGTTTTCATTTTCAAAATATCATGTTGGCTGATTTGTGAAAAATAAAATAGAGAAAGACAGGATTTATATTAAATGACATGGAACACAGCATACACATTATTATTAAATCTGACATTTCATTTCAGGGATAGAAATAATTCCCACCTACAGATACTATCTTGTTTGGATTCAATTGTGGCTGCAATGCTGCGCTTCAGAAATGATGTCAGTTGTTTATAAGAAGCTGCCCCAAAGGGCACCTGACATCCACTGATGGTCTATAAGCATCAATGTTTAGAGAATCCAGTTTTCTGTATCCCAAAGGGATCATTAGCTATAAATGCTTGAATTTTAGAAACAATAGCAAGGAAATGTATTCACTTTCATTTTGTCTTTTTCCTTTCAGCTTTGATGAAATGGCTAAATATGACCTTCCAGCCACAATCGACTTCATTGTAAAGAAAACTGGACAGAAGCAGCTACACTATGTTGGCCATTCCCAGGGCACCACCATTGGTAAGTAATGGCAGTCAAGGCCAAGTGGTTTACTTCTCATAAACACTTTCCCAGTGGTTATGGTAGGCATGTTAGCAACCACACTAATTGCTTTCCATTCATTTAATGCCTCCAACAACACAATGACATAGGGACAATTATAATTCCTATTATATGGGAAAACAAAACAAGGGGATACAGTTCGTGCAAGGTTACATGGATTATTACCAATAGGGTAGCTCAGGCAGTCTGACTCCCAAGCACATACTCTGAAGCATTATACCATACAGCCACTGACCTAAGTTTATTCTATTCATTTGACCATATTTATGGGGCAGGCTCCTATGATGTATCAAAAGAATACAGAAATAAATAAAATAGATGAAAACTTCTGCCTTTGTACCATTTATACTCTAGAGATAGGAGGCAGAGAAAATAAAAAAGGTTAAAAAGTAAAATGTAATATATTTTAGATAATGCTAAAGCTATGGAGAGAAAATAACCCAGGGAATTACATTAGAGAGCACCAGAGGGGTTCACAGAAATTGTAGATTGGTAACACAAGCACTCTTTGGGTAAAGTCATGATGAAGGTCAGAGAGTGAGTCATGTGCCTACCTAGTAGGCATCAGATGTTCCAGGAAGACAGAATAGCAAGTGAGAAGAATCTGAAGCTGGAGCACACCTAGTTTGTTCAAGGAACAGCAGTGAGGCTATGCCTTGTGTGGATGAATCAAATTGAGAAAGAGACAGAGAGAGTGAGAGATGAGATCACAGATGTTGGGGAGGAAAGACTGTTCGGGGCTCTTTGGCTGTTGTAGGGATTTTAGCTTTCACTCTGATAAAAAAAGAAAACTGCAGAATAATTTTGAATCGAAGAGTTACATGATTCATAACAGGATCCCTTTTGTTGCCAGGGGCAAAGAGGCAGGAGCAGAGAACCAATTAGAGGACTCTTATAGTACCCATGCAGGAGATGGTGGTGACCTGGATGAAGGGTGTTCTTGGAAAAACCATTCTTCCACAAATAGAACCAGACTACATATTATATAGTTGTCTATATCTGAAAGGGTTTTTTTTAGGCCATTCTTGAGTATCATCGATATGTCATTATTGACAGTGGGAGGGCCTTGCCTATGTAGCTATACTGCAGCGTTAAACTTGATAACTACTTGATCACATCCTCATCTGCCAGTATACTACTGCTTACAAAATTAATTCATTACTGAATGTATTTACTATGTATAGATATTTGAATTCTCTTGGGTCCTTATTTATCAAGCATTTACTATGTGCCAAGAATCATGATAAATTCTTTCTTTACATGATTTACTTCCTTTAGTTCCTAACAATCTAATGAAGCACTCACCACTATCCTTGTATTTCAGAGAGGGAAACAGTGGTTCTTAGAGATTAGGTGGCTTGTCCAAGGTCACAAAGCTAATAAACCACAGAGCCAGGATTCAAATTGAGTTTGGTCATATTTAAATTTCTACTCTTAACCTTTCCACTTATATACTCTACTCATATTAAGTGTTAATTAATTATCTCATTGTAATGAGATACATTTAAATTCATAAAAAATATAAATTCATAAAGAAATTCATAAAAAAATTTTTTGTAACCATATGAGTATCCTAAATTTGGTCTATTTTCTAAGGTCAGATAAAGGTTTATGATAACTTTTAAAACGTTCCAGCCTCATGTCCCCATAGAAAAATCTATGAAAATAAAACAAATATACCAAAATCTAATCACTGAGCCAGCAGAGATGCCAATTTCTCAGGCTGTCTCAAACACCATCCTTAGTAAGTCCAAAATAATGTCACACTTATAAAAACAAACAAAACAACAACAACAACACACACACACACCTTTTTCACCAGTTCCTTGTTCTTTTTCAGGTTTTATTGCCTTTTCCACCAATCCCAGCCTGGCTAAAAGAATCAAAACCTTCTATGCTCTAGCTCCTGTTGCCACTGTGAAGTATACAAAAAGCCTTATAAACAAACTTAGATTTGTTCCTCAATCCCTCTTCAAGGTATGCAATTCTCTTTAATTAAGTGAATCTAAGACCCTTGATTGCCCATGGATTTTAAAGTTATAGAAAGAGAACAGAGTTATAAAAAGAGAACAATCATTTTTATATCCAAAAATGGAACTGTTCGCATCTGTATTATTTCTTCCATAGCACTGACCATGTTTGAATCTCCTTACAGCCTGCGAGATCCCCCTTTCTTTCTTTGTTCTTCATGTGAGTCAGCAATGCCTGGGAGTAGTTTTGCTTTTTCACAGATGGTTTGTTTATTAAGCACTCTACACAGTTGTGTCAAGGCTGTGATTCCACTCCAGGAGGAGGGAAGATGAAATAAAAACAAAACAAAATAGTCAAATGAGAAGACTAACCCACTTGGGCCAGAGAGACTGGAAAGAGGAGGGAAAGGAAGGGGAGGGAAAGGGAGAAAAGGAGGAAATAAATCAGTGATTGAGTGAGGCAAACACCTTGAGATCTCTCATGGCTTTCCCTTTTGGCTTTCCTAAGAGCTCCTTCATCTTTAAATGGGCGATCTCATAAGTCAGTGGTGTGGATTTCAATAAATTATAAATATTAAGTGCCTTATGCAGTAGGCACACATGTTATGGAATTAATCGTTTTGTTTGACAATGCTTAATACCCTAATTCTCTCACCCAGTAAAACCAACACACACACACACACACACACACACACACACACACACACACACACTCTCTCTCTCTCTCTCTCTCTTTCCTTTAGGGGAACGGTTTAGCCTCAGGTTATAAAATATAAGGATTCCATTTCCTTCTATGGTTTTGTACTATTCATCTCTTTTCATTCTGTATTAATATGTATGTCTAAAGCCTAAGAGAACTTACCTATAGGCAAACTACATTTGGAAAACTTTTATTAAAATCTAAAATTTTTTGATGGCCCAGAAATATTTATTGGCTACATTGATTGAGAACTTATTTCCTACTCATACTCAGATTTTCTGATAGGCAATGCAGACGTAGATTAAAATTTAGAAAAGCAATAGACCTCAAGTTAGAGGCTTGGGTAAGGATTCTAGGTATAATCGAGCTCTAATTAGCCCAAGACCCTAACTCATGTTAACCTCATGTTTCCTCGTGTATAAAATAGAGATGACAAAATATCTGCCTTCCTCAAAGAGAGTTGGGGCAAACTCTTTCAATTCTTATACTGAGCCTCATTGCCTCTGTAAAGGCTTTGCTGAAAATATGGCCAAGTCACCATTTCTCCTCCCAAACTTTTCACAATTTATTGCTGAAATCTCACATCTTGGCACTTCATTATGACAGTCTGTCATGTGTTTTTAAGATTTTATCCCACAACTCCTATCACCCCAACTAGATTGTAACTCTTTGTGTCTTATACTTCCTCTCAGCAGCCAGTACAGTTCTCAGTGCCACAATAGATACCTAGTATTGATATCTGTGCTGCCCATTTCACAACTTTATTAGGGAATTAACTAAATGAAAGTATTGGAAATTCCTAAAACAACATGTAAGAATAAGAATATATCATCATCCTCATCACACATGTATAAGTAGATTAGATAAACTAGTGAGTCTTTTCTGCAGCTTGATTGCTACAACCCTCTAATAGTGCCTTTATTTTTCAGTTTATATTTGGTGACAAAATATTCTACCCACACAACTTCTTTGATCAATTTCTTGCTACTGAAGTGTGCTCCCGTGAGATGCTGAATCTCCTTTGCAGCAATGCCTTATTTATAATTTGTGGATTTGACAGTAAGAACTTTAACACGGTTAGTATGCATTTCAATTTCTATATTTTGAGCAACATCTTTGATTACTTGTTTCATTGCCACTTAGAAGTGGTACTTTATGAGAACTAGGAGTAGGTTCAGAACTGCGATATCCTGATAAACATGAGAGAAATCACAAATCATTGCTCCCAATTTAATCACTTCCAGCATCCTTCCATCACCCCAGTTGCCCCTAAACCAAATAAACAACATGAAGAAAAAACACAATTCACTACTCACTTATGACCACCTAAATACTAGGTGTTACATTTAAATTCTGTAAGAGAAAGGACTGAACCATATATTTTAGCAGGCTCCTTTGTGAGAAAAATGTCTAGATATTGAATAAATGTTTTCAATAAATATTTCTAATGCTGACAGTCATTTTGATAAATCTTACAGACTATATTTCTGAGCAACTATTTATGTAAGACTTTGCCCATATTCTTTTTTTGAGATAGAGTCTCGCTGTCACCCAGGCTGGAGTGCAGTGGCGCAATCTCGGCTCATAGCAAGCTCCGCCTCTTGGGTTCACGCCATTCTCCTGCCTCAGCCTCCCGAGTAGCTGGAACTACAGGCGCCCGCCACCACGCCCGGCTAATTTTTTGTATTTTTAGTACAGTCGGGGTTTCATCGCGTTAGCCAGGATGGTCTCAATTTCCTGACCTCATGATCCACACGCCTCAGCTTCCCAAAGTGCTGGGATTACAGGCGTGAGCCACCACGCCCGGCTGACTTTGCCCATATTCTTTATCTACCTTTTCATTCACTTTGTATTGAGTTGGAGTTTCAAAACATATGGACAAAATACACTATCATAGTTAAGAGTATGGATTTAGATCAGTTTAAATTCAAACCCTACATTTGGAACTGACTTAAACGTCTCTGTCTTGATTTCCTCATCCACAAAATGGGTTATTGGGAAGATCAAATGAGCTAGTATGTTTAAAGCATATAGAACATTGTACAAAGCATATAGCACATAGTAATAGCATATAAGGTTTTCTACTACTATTCATAGACAACTATCTCCCCTCCAAATTGTCACTTTAGTTATATACCCTTGAACACCTAAGAAAATTACATCTATTGATAAGAAGGTATAATTCTATGAAGTGTTGTGGTTACTTGTCATTCCATATGTGGAGTTTAACAGAGAGTAGCCTGTCCTCATCACACGAACAAAAGGCAGAACAAATTACTGTATTCCATTAGTGAGAGTCTTATAAGAAAAATAATAGTAAAATAAGACAAAGGAAACAAAGGAAATTAGAGATTTCATCTTCTGCGTAATAATTTGCAGAAGACCATCTTCAGTCTCCAATGAAGATGGCCAATTTGTTTCACTATGGCCACAGTCCGCTATATTAATGGCATTAAGAGTCACTATGAAGTGGCCTTCTGCAACTGGAGAAAGGAACTTCAGTTTGTTGCTTGGGGTTCTGCAAAGCAAGAGGCCTGTGTGTGAATATTTAACCTACAGCACTCTAGCACTGGGTAGAGAAGCATAAAAGCTGAGAATTTAGACTCAGAGACCCAAATTAAAGTATCTGTCTCCATTCTGTGTGGATCTTGGACATTTCTTTAAACTTCTTTGTGCCCCAATTTTCATGTTGATAAAATGGAACTAATAAGTTCTCCTCATTAGGCAGCTACAAATTAAATGGGTTAACACATGCAATTGCACTTTGCAAATTCTGAAGTGACATACAAATGTGTTGTTCATATCCTTCCAGTAAATGCTACCTTTAAACACTTGACCTGAATCAGAAAACATAAATCTTTACTGTTTTTAAGAAACTGAGTATGTGTCTTAGTATGTATATAATATGTGTGTCTGTTGATTTCTAGAGTCGCTTGGATGTGTATCTATCACATAATCCAGCAGGAACTTCTGTTCAAAACATGTTCCATTGGACCCAGGTATTCTTTTCCAAATGCTGTTAAAATGTATTTTGTGAGTCTCAACCCTTTTCACTTTACCTAAACACATTCTTAAAATATCCTGCTGAGTACACCTGGAAGGTAATTTTTCTGGCACTGACTACCATACAAAAATAACTATGAATTTATTTCAAAGAAGAAAATGCTTTTTATTTTATTTTATTATTATTATACTTTAAGTTTTAAGGTACATGTGTACAACGTGCAGGTTTGTTACATATGTATACATGTGCCATGTTGGTGTGCTGCACCCACTAACTCGTCATTTAGCATTAGGTATATCTCCTAATGCTATCCCTCCCCCCAGCAAATGCTTTTTATGACTTGGTATGCAAGAAAAATTATTTTGAGTGAAGCTGCATTTAAACTTACATAAATACCTTGTCCTAGATTATTAATAATCTTTTGGAATGAGAAAAATGTTTCTTAATAATTGTTTAAATTGAAAATAAACTGCTTGGAAATGTTTGAATTTTATTTTTCACAATATAATAATTTTTATTTGTTTGCTTTTAATTTCTCTATGTTAGGCTGTTAAGTCTGGGAAATTCCAAGCTTATGACTGGGGAAGCCCAGTTCAGAATAGGATGCACTATGATCAGGTAAGCTTCTTAAAGATGGAATTATTCACATTTTGAACAACAATACTAACTATTTAAATGTTAAAGAAGAAATTATGTTAACTGCGCATCTGTTTTCCAAAGGAATGTTGATGTTCTGTCTCTCATTCTCCCACATGACTATGCATTCCTGCTCTGGTGGCTACGCTCATTTAAAGAGGTTTACAAAGCTGCCCTCAAAGTACTACACCCCTGTGTGTGAGAGACTTCCCAGGACTTACCACTACCCATTGCCATTACACAGACCTGTCCCATATCCCAGATCCCCAGCACACTGTCCTCTCCTTTCTGAAGTACTAATACCTGATATAATAAGCTAATAATTCTAACTGTTCATGGAATTTCTGGTCTTCTTAAACAATACCCTTTCCTTTGTTGACAGCCAGAGGAGTGATTTCAATGGGATATATTCCCAAATAGAAGAAAAAGATGCCGTGCTTGCAGGTCAAGGCTGGAAATATTTTACAATAGGCAGAGGCCTTTGGCATAGGCAGACATATTAAGCAGTCCTCACACTTGCTGTAATAAGAATCCAGACTTTGGAGCTTATCTTATCTGCAGTCAATATGAGTTTGGGCAGTCATTTCTTCATCTCTCCACCCAGGCTCAGGAAGTTGTTGACAGGATTTAGTGCTATAATATCTATAAGCTCTTAGCTCAGGGTAAGCTCTCGGGTTATCACTGACTATTTTTGAACAAGGGAAGCACCCTATAGTATTTTGTAACCTTCTCTTCTTCCTTTTCACCACATCCAATTTTTCCATCCAAGTAGTAGCTGAACAACTCTACTAATTTTCATTTGTTTCCATGACTTAAAATTTAGAAGGAATTTATATGTTTTAACAACAATGTCTTATGTGTAGAGAAGGTGCCCCCCAACCTTGATTTTGCATTTTTGATATCTTTAAAGTTTTCAGAATAGCATGAGATCAAACTTTTGTTGAAAACATTTTTTCCTCCACCATCACTTTCTCAAATCTCCAAAACACACAGGCTTGCTTTGAGTCTCTCTTTCTACTGGACTCTAATACTCATAATCAGAGGACTTCATCTTAGAGGAACAAGAAACCCAGTCCCCAAGTCCACCCTTCTTCCAACTAAACCAATAATATACCAGGTTGGTCTTTAACTAACTGAAGCAATGACACTAATTTAAGAGCCAGGGCCAGCATCTAGAAAACTCTTTGAATAATAGGATGTAAGTAAAATAAGCTGGGTTTATAATTATGAATATTCTCCACACACTCCCTTTTCTCTAATATTTAGGAAATATAATAGAAATCATGAAAATATTAGGGAAAATTACATATCATAAAATATTTTGCTATGGCAAGTTGGCTATTACACAAAATGTGAGAATACAGAAACTTTTAGTATATTGGATTACTATTCTTGAAACTATGATCTAAAAAAATCTAACAAAATTCTCTCTGGGCAGCAAGAAAATTTGAGATAATTCTCTTATTCCTTTTTCTGCTTTGTAAACCTCTTTAAAATCTATGTGTGAATTGTGATTTTCGAGAAACAGGACATGGGGATGATAATACCCTTTCTCAGAATTTGAAGCAACATTTTGTAAATACTCAGGTAAGTATTCAACAATTACAGCTCCATAACTGAAACAACTGACCTATCCCCTGACCATAACTGGGAAGTCAATACAAAGCCAAAATAAATGACTCAGGACATTTTGAGATCATATTTTAGAGTGTTTGGGTAGAAACAACCTATTAACAATTAGAATCTAATCAAATCCATTTCCCTTAGCTTGAGTTGCAATCTATGTTCTTAATTTGTAAGACTTACTGTCCAAAGCCTTGCTATTCAGAGCATGGTTTGGAGCCAATGGCATCAGCATCACCTATGAATGCAGAATCTCAGGCTGTTCCCCAGATCTACTGAAACAGAATTTTTACTTCAACAAGATCTTCAGGTAATTCACAGGCCCATTAGAATTTGACAAGCACTTATCTAAAACATATTGCATTCACTTTGCTCTGTGGATAAAGGTGGTTTTCTCTGTGCAATCATTGCTAGAATTCACTTATAAAACCGCCAGTTAATGTTATACACTCTACTTGAATAGTAAGTACTGGGTTTAAAGTGTGGTTACCTAAACTCTGGTTCTTTCTCTTGTGTTTTCTAGTCCCAACCTCCCTACTACAATGTGACAGCCATGAATGTACCAATTGCAGTGTGGAACGGTGGCAAGGACCTGTTGGCTGACCCCCAAGATGTTGGCCTTTTGCTTCCAAAACTCCCCAATCTTATTTACCACAAGGAGATTCCTTTTTACAATCACTTGGACTTTATCTGGGCAATGGATGCCCCTCAAGAAGTTTACAATGACATTGTTTCTATGATATCAGAAGATAAAAAGTAGTTCTGGATTTAAAGAATTATCCGTTTGTTTTTCCAAAATACTTTATTCTCTCATACATAGTATTTTCATAATGTTTGACATGCAGTGCTTCTTTCTGTAATTTTGACTTTAGAAATATATTGGCATCAACAAACTTCCATTTGTCATTTTGAATTTTTTTAATTTAAAGAAATTTGATTTTTCACCTGGAAATTTATCTAGAAATACTTGAGAGAATATATTTCTGGGGAGGTGAAACTTCTCATTTTCCCATTCAGTTTCTCTTCTGAACTCACTTATATATGAGCTGTGAGCCATAAGTGTTTCTAAAGGACAGTGTTGGCTTCATATTCGCTCTGCTTATGTACACTTGATACTGAGTATATTGCTTTCTATTGTTGATGAAGCTAAGTCTTTCCATCTGTGTAGTGGGGCCTATCACTTGCTATTTTGCATATTTAACCCCATGGAAAGGCCAATTGGGATATAAACTGAATCAACTCACTTTCACTTCCCAGGGAGTGGAGAGCAAGGGTAGTTTGGGAAGCAGCAGATGAAGTCAACCCTGAGTCAGGAATTTGGGAAGAAAAGGGTATGCTCTATTATTATTATTATTATTATTATTATTATTATTATTATTATTGTTCTGCCCTCATGTTTTTGGGTCTTGACCACCAAATAGGCACCAACTAACCAAACTATTTTTGAAATCTCTGCCACAGTGCTGGAAACCACAGGATCCAGAAACATCCCCATTGATATATCAATTAGGATGTACAACTGCCATCAGTAACAACAAAAAAAAAGGCTCACCCAAACTTTCAAAATTTCTAAACACACACAGCCTTACCTTGGAAATTTTATTAACCCCACAAATTTGTGACCTCATATTTTATGCAATTAAGTTATTCAGATCACACCTATTATACTATGTTACGGTTTGATGTATAAAATATAAATGAGATAAGGAATATCTTGTACCCAGCATAGTGTATAAAACATAGTGAGTATTCACAAAAACCTGTTAACAATGTTTATTATATTGTCACATCCCTCAACCTTTGTTAGGAAGCCCCAAACTTAATTTGTTTTAAGCAAGAAATTGCTAAAAGAAGATAACTTGGGAGACTTTATTTCAATATTTCAGTGAACTTTGTTGTTAGACTTTACTAAACTGACATGAACATGTCGGTGACTAGTTACAAATGTTCATGGTGGTGGAAGCAGTTGAGGACTCAGATGTTTTATCAACTCTACTTCCTCGAGAAAAGAACAATCATTAGATTCTTGCAGTCTCCTATGCTATTCCAGCTAACTGCCTTTCTTTTAGTCGGTACTCAGCAGATACAGGAAGTTTTGGTTTGGATTTTGAACACAATTAAATACTATCTTATTGCTCCTACAGCAGCTTTGCTATCTCCCATTTGTTAATTTGAACTGTCAATTTATCAGCTAATTTTCAAGAGTTTATTTCTATCTGCCTGCTGTAATCACAATTTTCAAGTGTTTATTTCTATCTGCCTGCTGTAATCACTCCTTGGGCAACCTCCTGCCATGTCAAACTCAATCATTTCAAACTCAAATTCATCATCCCCACATCTCTGAGCCAAATAAGTGTCAAGTTAATGAAGTTCTCCCAGTAACCAGGGAGTGAGACTCTGGAATCAACTTTGAATACCGCCTCTCCTCTAGTTATCCTTTCCCTTTGTAAAATAGAAACTGTTAAACATAGATAATTTTAGACAGAACAGTTTAATAATCCCCTTTGTATGCATTACTCGGTTTCAACTATTATCAATACATAGCCTTCTTTCATAATCTGGTTTTATCTGTATCTCTAGCCACTTCTCTCATCTTAATTTGAAGCAAATCTCAAGCATCACATATTTCATCCATGAGGATTTCAGGATGAATTACTAAAAGATAAAGCCTCTGTTTTAACATAATAATACTGTTCTTACATCTAAAATTTTAAAAATATCTAGCCAGTGCTCAGATTTCCAATTATTTCATTAATAATGTTTATTTATGAAATGTTTTATACTTTGTTTAGATTGAAATTCAAATAAGGCCTTTATCTTTTATTACTTGATGTTGTCTCATGTTTCTTTAGATATACAGGTCCATTTGCCCTTGCCCTTTTTTTTTTTTTTTCTTGAGACGGAGTCTTGCTCTGTCACCCAGGTAGGAGTGCAGTGGCATGATCTCAGCTCACTGCAACCTTTGCCTCTGGGGTTCAAAGGATTCTCCCGCCTCAGCCTCCCCAGTAGCTGGGATTACAGGTGCACACCACCACGCCCAGCTAATTTTGTATTTTTAGTAGAGATGTGGTTTCACCATGTTGGCCAGGCTGGTCTCAAAATCTTGACCTTGTGATCCACCCGCCTCAGCCTCCCAGAGTGCTGGGATTACAGGGGTGAGTTAGTACACCTGGCCTTGTTGTTGTTTTTGTTGTTGAAGAAACTGTGGTTTGTGTTGTAGTTTCATACCATAGGAATTTTGCTGATTATATTCCACATTCCTCGCCTTTCATATTTCCTGTGACTCAAGCGTTCTTAACCTCAACACTATTGATATTTTTGGTAAGGTCATTTTTTCCCTAATTGAATATTCTTTTCTAATTATTTTTATAGATTCAGGGAGTACAAGTGCAGTTCTGTTACGTGGATATATTATGCAGCAGTGAAGTCTGAGCTTTTAGTGCACCCATCACCCAAATAGTGAACTTTGTACCCAATAGGTGATTTTTCAACCTTCAAGGTAATTTTTTTATTATTGGAGTTGTCCTGAGTATTGGAGGATGTTTAGCAGTATCTCTAGCTAGATCCCAGCAGCACACACATCCCAAGTTGTAACAGTCAACTATGTCTCCTGACATTGCCAAATATCATCTTGATGGCAAAATGCCCACCCTACTAAGTTAAGAACCAGTACTGTAAATTATAACCTTAATAAGATTAAGATTTTAAAAAAAAAATATTTTATAGACCGTATGGTGTTCTACTATAATGAGGCTGACAATGCACAGCTGTTTCTCTTTTTTAGAATGTCAGAGACTACTGCTTTTCAATACACAAACCCAAGAGTTAATTAGGAGATTAAAAATGGTGGCATTCCAATTTGATCAGTTCTTCGTTTATTAACTGAATACTTCCATAAAGAGGAATTGTTGTCACATATATTTAAGTTATCCAAAATCCATGATTCTTTCCCTTTATTTATGAATTTCCAAAATTGGTTTTTCTTCGTTTAGTATTATAATAAATATATGGTTCTATGCATATTTGATGTTTCAAATCTGTAAGGATTATTATCCTTACTGATATTAAAATTATACCCTCTGTTTCTTGTGAGAGCTTCTATAAGTTGGCTCCAAAGTTCTTTTACCAAACCTGTCATCCTGAATGTTTGCTGCTTCTGCTCAGTTATTTCCCTAAGAGGTCCCAATTCCTTTTTAATGTGGAATTTTACAAGATCATATTCTATAAGTGAGGATGATCATTGTTATTAGGTCGTTATTTGTAGGACTTTTCAATGCAGAGACCTAGGAAATTTTTTTGAGATAAGATATGCCAGTACTTCATATTTATTTATTTGTCAGTTAAAAAAAAAAACCTCAGCTCTTCATCTCCTTCTCCATCATGATAGCTGTCAACACACAATGTTTGAACTGTTAAAGTAGCATCTTAAATGGTCTACCTTTCTCTTGCCTCTGCTTAACATTCCAAATTGATTCCTAAAATCCTCTTCATTGTTCCACCTAAGTTCAAATTGGTCAACCTACCATGTAAAATCCTCATAAAGCTGGTTACTTACATATACTATCTCTTTTCCAACTACCTTAACTAGTAGCCGCCCTTCCAGTCAAGTTTTCTCTTTATTATGCCTCAAATACACCTCTAAACTTGTATCATCATATTGTTGTTCACGTTTCCCTCCAAAATTCTGTCTAACACTGTCTTGAGGCTGCAGGTAGTTTTCTATGCTTTTGTGCATAACTCACATGAAAACCAATACATATGAACCGAGAACCGTGTTGCAATCTAAAACCCACTAGAAATAACATGACTCATATTTTTAAAAATCATGGTATTTTAGAATTTGAAGAGATCTAAGCAGTTATCTAGTCTAATCCTATTATTTTCCAAGTGAGGATATTAAAGTTAATAGAAGTTCAGCACTTTGATAAAGGTCATACAGTTGGCAGTGTTAGAGATGGAATCAACATCTCCTAATCCAAGTATTCTTCTCCTTTTGCTGCACAAGGCTGATATGAAAAGCTCTGTTACAGTGTCAGATATTTCCAGAGTTGTCTGCGGGAGAAAATGGAAGGGGGATTGCTAAGGGTTTTAGCAAGTATTATTCAGGGTAATACTGAGTATCTCAGCTTCTAGAGTGTACACAGAAATCTGGTGAAAGAAAAATGCCAGTTGAATGTAAGCTTTCTCTGAAAGTGTGAGAGAAAGTGAGAAGTAGCAGTTAGATATTAGAAGGAAAAAGCAGGAATGGAGGCAAGAAGGAGGTAAAGAAAGGAAGATATTAGAAGACATAGAAAGGGACTTGAGCTTCCAGGTGCAAACATTACCTGCATATCTCAGTTGTCCATTATCCTAGCCCTACTGGAAAAATTCTAAAAGCTATATATAATCTAAGCCAAACCAGAAAAAGTATTTAAAGCATACAAGGAGGATGCCACTCTAGAATTTTCTTTTGAAAGTAACATTCTGAAAAACAAATAAAAATACAGATGAGGCCAGGTGTGGTGGCTCACGCTTGTAATCCCAGAACTTTGGGAGGCTGAGGTGGGTGGATCACCTGAGATCAAGAGTTTGAGATCAGCCTGGCCAATGTGGTAAAACCCTATCTCTACTAAAAAAACAAAAATTAGTAGGGTGTGGTGGCACATGCCTGTAATCCTAGCTACTTGGGAGGCTGAGGCATGAGAATCACTTGAACCCAGGAGGCAGATGTTGCAGTGAGCCAAGATGGTGCCACAGCACTCCAGCCTGGGCAACAGAGACTGTGTCTCAAAATAAATAAATAAATAAATAAATAAATAAAAATAAAAATACAGATGAGATTAACTATTTGCTGAAATAACCCACCCTGCGAAGTAGTTTACAAGTGGGTTGCTGATGATAACCGTGAGTCCAAAATTTCAAGGATTTTAAATTATCACTAAAATAAACTATTAAACAATGCAAAGTATCATAACAAGGTAATCCCATAATAAAATCTATAGTAGGTATGGATAAATGAAAGCCTAAAACAGAGTATTCTAGCCAGTGTGAAGGTGGAGAAGAATACATACATTTTCAAGCAACCCGTTTAACAAAATTGTTATAAACACGGAGAGTCAGAGTGACCTGGATTCGAGTTCCTGGCCAGCCATTTAATAAATGGGAAAAGTTATTAACTTCATGAGCTTTAATTTCCTTCACTGAAAATAGTGAGTGTATACCTCCCAGAGTTGTGAGGATTTTTGTGTTTATTTCTTGAACAAATATCTATTGAATGGCTTCTTTATATTGAGCATTTTAATATAATTAGCGTATGATCCGTGGTATTGCTTAATTAATATTACCCACCATTATTGGTTTTATAACTGCAAGGTATTACTTATTAGGATTATTATTCCTTTGCTCTTACATATTAGACAATCTTCTTATAATAACTTATAGGCTATTATAAGTTATTATAACTTATAGTAGGTGAGTCAAGATAGACTCATCTACTAAATGGGAAATTGGTAGAGCAGCCTATATAAGTATCTGATTACAGAACAATGGATAATTTCTCCGCTCACATAAAACATTGATACTCTGGCTTATCAGGTCTTCTTTGTGGTTTTGTTTCATATAAATCAGTTCCTAGAAGTCTGATTACCTTTCAGTAACCTAATAAAAGCATATTCATAAGTGTGCAAAGCAAAGCTTACATACAATTATTGAACCAAATAAGGCCAAATCTCAGAAACCAGCCAGCTTCCATTTAATAATTTTATTTTAATATTTACATTTTGTCACTTAGTAAATTATATTTCTCTGAATTTTAACCTTCTTGTGTACTTACTTCAAGGTTTGTTTTCAAGACCAAGAGCATGTGAAAAATTTTGTCGTCCTGTATTCATTTGGTTTCTCTGCTCATTCTGCCCAGGTTCTCTTCTCATCTGTTTATATCATCCAGTTATATCTGTGAGTTTAATATTTAACTTACAGATATGGTTGATCTGGAGAGCCAGCTGGATGATATGAATTGCCATATCTGTGAGTTCAATATTTAAGAAAAACATCTATGCTTTTCTAAATTTCCTCAAAGGTCTTCCTATAAGTGCTAAGAATCCCTTGTTCTTTATTGGAGTAAACCCAATTCATGTGTGCCAGTAGATTACCTGACTTACTATCTTACTGTTCAATTTATGTCACTGTAGCTAAGTCAGTACCTACTAATTGGAAAGGTATGATCCAAGAACATTTACTGGGAGTTGGGTGGCTCTGCTTTGTGAATCCTTATCTCAAATATTTTAGTTAAGGTTATAAGACACTGAAGATAAAGAACATATGCTCATTATGTGAGTGTATATACGTGTGTGTGTATACACTATATATTTGTAAATACACATTTACAAATAAATATACTTCTACTGAGAATGTGTGTATCCAGATATAGGCACACAGAAAAAGAATTACATTTCTTTCAATAAATATTTTGACAAATAATTTCAATCATCTAAGCTTTAATATTCCTTTTCTGAGAGCTTCATTAATGTACATTCTAGTGAATTTAGAATTCTGTGCTTCATGCCTTCATTTTGCAGCACCTCACAGCAAGTACTTACTATTCTTTAGAATTCCAAAAGCTACTTGAATTCAAAACAGGTCAAATCAGCAAAGGAGGTTAAAAGATTAGAAGATCTGCAAATGGTTTGGCTCTAAAGCAAGTTCAAACCAAAAATGAGCTAAGAAGGCACTGGAAATTGTATATCCTGGGGCTATTTAATATGCCTTCTGCCAGATGCATGTCAAGGCAATGATACAAAATGTGACTGAACTTACTAACAAAACAGGCCAAAAATTGATCTGATTAAATTTAAAATAAAAAAATGCTTCTTGGCCTATTAAATCTGCACTGCTTGGGAAAGATATATTCATTTGATAAATTTAAATCATATATATTATATTGATATTTGTTTAATATTTATGTCTAATGAATATTTATCAAAACAAACAGTGTTCTTTTTGTTCTAGGAACAAAAGACAAACCCCTTGACCTGACAGAGCTTACATTTTAGTGGTGGAGGTTGATAATTATAATCAGATATATTATTATATTAGGTAAGAATAATTGCTGATAAAATACAGTAGGTTATGGAGTAGAAATGAATGACAAAAGGCACTATTTGTTTTTTCTTTTTTGAATTATTATGGGTACATAATAATTGTATATACTTATGGGGTACATGTGATGTTTTGATACAGGCATAAAATGTGTAATGATTCAAATCAGGGTAATTAGAGTATCTGTCACCCAAGCATTGATCATTTCTCTGTGTTAGTAACAATCCAGTTCTAATTTTAAAGTTATTTTAAATAGACAGTAGATTATTGTTAATTATATCACCCTATTGTGCTACAGAATATTAGATCTTATTCACTCTATCGAGCTGTATTTTTGTGCCCATTAACCATTTCCAATGTATCCTTACCTCCCCACTACCCTTCACATCGTCTGGTAACCATCATTGTACTCCCTTCATCTCCATGAGTTCAATATTTTTCATTTTTAGCTCCTACAAATAAGTGAAAATGTGAGAAATCTGTTCTTCTGTGCAAGATACTATTTTAAATAGAGTGGTCAGAAAAAGCTCCCCTGGGAAATGACACCTGAGCAGAGAAGTGGCTAAAGTGAGAAAGATCCATTTTAATTGAGTGTTCTGGTCCTGTAGTTCTAAACTGCAAAGGACCCCAAAGAGTCTTATAGGCTAACAAAGTAGCCTGCCACAATTTCACAGATGCTGGCAGGAGACAGGAAACTCTTGGGTCAAAGACAAAGGACTTGTATCACAGCGGACCTCATCACCTTCACGTTCTCCTTGTTCCACAAGTCCATAGAGAAGATGCAGAAGTGGACCCAGGTGGATGTTGCACATACAATAAGCCTATGTCACAGTGAAGAATTCCAAGTTTAGGAACCTCCCAATCTTATAAAGGGGCTGCCAGCAAAACTGTCCAATCTTTGCCCCATATGAAGACATCTTTATTATACTGGTTAGGAACAAATCTACCCTCTACACTGGAGGGAGACGGTCTTCTGTCTTTCAAGGCTTTTCACTAAACACACATCATTGAAAAGATAGTCTGGGACAAAAACTGATCTGAGATATGAAGAAATGCCCTGGAGAATAGTCTCCTAACATCAACTTTTAGCATACACCAGAATCACCTGGAGTTCGCCAATCTCCAGTGTTCCTGCTTTAGTAGGTCTAGGCCCTGTCTAAGAATTTGCATTTCAAACAAGTTCCCAGCTAATGCTGATACCACTGGTCAGGAATTTCTACTTTGAGAACTACTGTTTTGAGTCTTAAACAGATCACATTTTGTTGCACTATCGTTGATTTGCTTTCATTTGGCTGTGCTTTATAATCAGCAACCCACAATTCTAGATTACTTAGGCCTATTATTTTCTTTGATTTCATTAAATATAGTGAATAACATATCTCTTATTAGAGACAACTCTCATATCTTACAATGTGGTTGAGCTTATTGACACATATATTTCTTCCCCAAACAAACCTTTGCTAGTATCAACTTCAGATTATCCAGATGTGAAACAAAGGAGACAATTGAAATAATAGAGAAAAAAAATCCTGCTTCTGAGGGTATCATAATAATTGTAATATTAACCTTGTATCTAACGTTAGTATTGATGACATTCTGGTCTATAGCTACAAAATGCACCGATTGAAGCACAGATGATGTGTATCATTTAAAGAGTGTTGATAATTTTGTTTTTTCTCTGTCATTATTTTCTATCCCTATAACATATTCAGTTTCTTCATCTTTAAAAAGCTTTTGAAGTCAAAATTGAGTTTAAATAACCAAATAGCATTTAGACTTCTCAAATTAACACAGGCCCAGAAATCTATACCATTAATAAGGAAATTATGCTTTGTGATTACATCAGAATTGCTGCAAATCTAGCAGTGTTTTGTTACCACAGCTCTAAAATTTAACTCCTTTTTGAAATTAGTTCTGTAAGTGACCAAACAAGGACATGCAGCCAATAACCCTATGAAAAAAAACACTTACTGTTATTTAAAATAACATTTTTACATTCACAATCTATTTTCACAGAATTTGATAGAACTATGCAGTTATCCAGATTTGCCACTAGAGGGTAGGGTAGATTTGGAGGCTGCTTGTGTTTTTCCTCCTAATCCAGGGGCATTTACTCTATTTAATCAATAGATGATGCCTGTACTCATTTTACTTAGCATGTCAGCCCCTTTATTAAAAATTGTGAAAAAAAAGACTACCTAAATAAGCAAAACCCAATCAGGAATTAAATTTTAGAGAAGTTCCCAGATGGAAGATAGGAAAAGCTAACATTCTGCTAAGTACTTTATATATGGAAAAACAATTAATACCCACAAAAGTACTATAAAATTGGTAATATTATGCCAATTTTATGTTAATTATACAAATATATACATAATATAAATATATAATATTGGCACAGTGTGCCAATTTTTTATTATAACATGTAAAGTAGGGAGATGTAGAATGAATTATATGTGCAAATTCTCATGAAAAATAGTGAATTCAGGTCTTCCTGACTCAAAAATCCAAATCTGTCCAATATACCACATTAACAGATCAAATCAAGCCTTAATATAAATAAATCTCTCACATGATCCCCTGCTAAACAGTACATTTGTTACCTTTGCTATCAATCTTACTTCTTTGTTTTCTATAGTTGGAGTACGTGTGATGTGTTTTTATCATTGCTTCTAGATTTATGAACTCTGTAAATTCGGGTAACCCATGTTGCACCTCATGATATGTCCTCTACTGCATGGCAACCATCCACATGGGAGCTCTTCTTTAATTATTGGAGCTTATTATTATGTGCCTATATAATAAATGCCTTATGAGCAAATAATTTAACAACTAATTGTTTTTCTCTCTGTTGATAATCTGTTTTGTTCTTTACTGTGTCAGATTACTTTTTAAAATTATATTTAAATAGCAAATATACTTGAGATTGGCTTAATCATTACAAAATGTAGTCCCAGATCCACGGTTCTAGAAAGGCAGAGCAAGATGGAAAGCCAGAGCAAATAGATGCCTCTACTGATTGTCAAAGCAAAAGAACAAATAGAAGCCCCCACCAGTCATCCTCCCCACAAGAACACCAAATTTGACAACTATCTACATAAAAAAGCGCCTTCATCAGGAGCAAAAATCAGCTTAGGTGCCAACTTGACCACCGTGGGGTAGAGTACCAAACAGGCACTTGAGTCCCCAATTCCAGGCCTTGGGTCTTGGATGGCATTTCTGGATCTGGGTTGGACCAGAGGAGAGCCCACTCTCCTGAAAGGTGAGTCCCAGGGCTGGAAGCATTCACCACAAGCCGACTGAAGAGCCACTGGGCCTCGAGTGAGTTTGGCGGTAGCCTGGCAATACTCACCACAGGCCTGGGGTGGTGGTGGCCATGGGGAGAGACTCCTCTGTTTATGGAAGGGTGAAGGGAGAGTGGGAAGGATTTTGACTTGTGGTTTGGGTGCCAGCTCAGCTGCAGTAGAATAAGGCACCAGGCGGATTCCTAAGATATCCAACTCCAGGCTCTGACTCCTGGATGACATCGCTGGACCCGCTTGGGGCTGAGGGTAACTCACCACCTTGAAAGGAAGGACACAAGGCTGGCTGGCTTCATCATCTGCTAATCGTAGAGCCCTAGGGCCATGAATAAACATAGGCGGCAGCCAGGTAATGGTTACAGCAGGCCTTGGGCGAGACTCAGTGCTGTGCTGGCTTCAGGTCTGACCCAGCACAGTCCCAGTGGCAGTGGCTACAGGGTAGTGCTTGTATTACCCACCCCTCAACTTCAGGAAGCTCAGCACAGAGACAGACCCTCCATTTGTTTAGGGGAAAGTAAGGGAAAAGAACAAGATACTCTGCCTGGTAATCCAGAGAATTCTTCTGGATCTTATCCAAAACCACCAAGGTGGTACCTCTATAAGTCTGCAAGAGCTACAGTGTTACTGGGCTAAGGGTGCCTCCTAACGCAGATATGGCTGCAGTGACCAAGAACTTAGATCACAGCACTCAAGTCCCTTTGAATACCTAGAAAGCCTTCCAATAAGGGTGGGTACAAACAAGCCCAGACTGTGAAGACTACAACAAATACATAACTCTTAAATGCCCAGACACTGACAAACGTCTGCAAACATCAAGACCGTCTAGGAAAATATGACCTCACCAAGTAAACTAAATAAGCCACCAGGGACCAACCCCAGAGAGACAGAGAAATGTGACCTTTCAGATATAAACTTCAGAATAGCTGTTTTGAGGAAACTCACAGAAATTCAAGACAACACAGAGAAGGAATTCAGGACTCTATCAGATAAATTTAACAAAGAGATTGAAATAATTACAAAGAATCAAGCAGAAATTCTGGAATTGAAAAATGCAATCGACATACTGAAGAATGCATGAGAGTCTCTTAGCAGAATTGAACAAGCAGTAGAAAGAATTAGTAAGCTTGAAGACAGGCTATTTGAAAATGCAGCCAGAGGGTGGAGCATGGTGGCTCACGCCTGTAATCCAAGCACTTTGCCTGACTAACATGGTGAAACCCCATCTCTACTAAAAGAAATACAAAAAAATTAGCCAAGCGTAGTGGCGGGTGCCTGTAATCCCAGCTACTCAGGAGGCTGAGGCAGGAGAATCGCTTGAACCTGGGAGGCGGAGGTTGCAATGAGCTGAGATCATGCCACTGCACTCCAACCTGGGCGACAGAGCAAGACTCCGTCTCAAAAAAAAAAAAAAAAGAAAGAAAGAAAGAAAATACAGTCAGAGAAAAAAGAATGAAAAAGAACAAAGCACAAAAGCACACCTACAAAATCTAGAAAATAGCTTCAAAGCGCAAATATAAGAGTCACTGGCCGTAAAAAGGAGGTAGAGAGAGAGATAGGGGTAGAAAGTTTATTCAAAGGGATATAAGAGAACTTCCCAAAGCTAGAGACAGTTATCAATGTTCATGTACAAGAAGCCTATAGAATACCAAGCAGACTTATCCCAAAGAAGACTTAATAATCAAACTCCCAAAGGTCTAGGATAAAGAAAGGATCCTAAAAGCAGTAAGAGAGGGAGGGAGAGAGGGAGAGAGAAAGAGAGAGAGAGAGAGAACATTCAAGGGAGCTCCAGTATGTCTGGCAGAAGACTTTTCAGTGGAAACCTTTCAGGTCGGGAGAAAGTGGCATGACATATTTAAAGCGCTGAAGGAAAAAAAAAAAAAAAACACCTTTTACCCTAGAATAGTATATCTGGTGAAAATATCCTTCAAACATGTAGGAGAAATAAAGACTTTCCCAGACAAACAAAAGCTGAGGCATTTCATTAACAGCAGACCTGTCCTATAAGAAATGCTAAAGAGAGTTCTTCAATTTGAAAGAAAAGGACATTAATGAGCAATAAGAAATCTGAAGGTACAAAACTCACTGGTAATAGTAAGTACACAGAAAAACAGAATATTATAATACTGTAATTGTGGTGTGTAAACTGTTCACAAGTAGAAAGGCTAAAAGAACCAATCAAAAATAATAACGACAAGTAATTTTCAAGAAATATACAGTACAATAAGATATAAATAGAAACAACTAAAAGTTTAAAAGCGGGATGAAGTTAAAGTGTAGAATTTTTGTTAGTTTTCTCTTTGCTTGTTTATGCAATCAGTGTTAAGTTGTCATCAGTTGAAAATAATGGGTTATATTATTTGCAAGCGTCGTAGAAACCTCAAATAAAAAAACATACAACAGTTCCACAAACAATAAAAAAGCAATACATTGGCTGGGTGTGATGGCTCAATAATCCCAGCACTTTAGGAGGCTGAGGCAGGAGGATTACTTGAGGTCAGAAGTTCAAGATCAGCCTGGCCAAAATGGTGAAACCTATCTCTACTAAAAATACAAAAATTAGCCAGGTGTGGTGATGAGTGCCTGTAATCCCAGCTACTTGGGAGGCTGAGGCAGGAGAATCGATTGAACCTGGGAGGTGGAGGTTGCAGGTTGCAGTGAGTTGAGATGGTGCCACTGCACCACTCAAGCCTGGGTGACAGATTGAGACTCCATCTCAAAAAAAAAAGCAATAGATTAATACATATCACCAGAGAAAATCATTAAAAGGAAGACAGGAAGGAAGGAAACAAGGAAGAGAAGACCACAAAACAATCAGAAAACAACTAACAAAATAGCAGGAGTAAGTCTTCACTTATCAATAATAACATTGAATGTAAATGGACTAGACTCTCCAATCAAAAACAGAGAGTAGCTAATCTTGTCATTTGCAACAACCTGGATGGAATTGGATGTCATGTCATAAGTGAAATAAGCCAGACACAGAAAGATAAACTTCTCATGTTCTCACTTGTTTGTGGGAGCTAAAAATTAAAACAACTGAATTCATGGAGATAGAGACTAGAATGTTGGTTACCAGAGTCTGGGAAGGGTTTTTTTTGTGTTGCGGGGGAGGGGAGTGAAGTGGAGATGCTTACTGGGCACAAATATAGAATAAATAAGATAGAGTATTTGATAGCACAATAGAATTACTAGTCAATGATAATTTAATGTACATTTAAAAATAACTAAAAGTGTATAGTTGAATTGCTTGTAACACAAAGGATCAATGCTTGAGGGGATAGATACCTCATTTACCCTGATATGATTATTACTCATTTATGCCTGCATCAAAATATCTCATGTACTCCATATATACACCTACTATGTACCCACAAAATTAAAAATAAAAAAGTATTCCCAAACTTAATACAAAACTTTTAGTTCTCTGAGTTTGATTTACTTCATCTTCATTGTTATTTCTTTTGTAACTTTATATTATAAAGATTTTCAAACACACAAGAATTAAGAAAATAGTATAACCCGAAGCGCCCATTTTCTAGCCTCAATAATTATTAGCATATGGTCAATTTCATTTTATCTATACCCTAACACAGCTGGCAATAAAATATTTTAAAGAAAACTTCCAGACACATATCATTTCCTTTGAAAATATTTTATAAGGTAATTTTAAAACATAGGAGATTTTAAAAATAATCACAATACACAAACATCATGCCTAAAAACCAAGCAGATCAAAAATCTTTTAATAATATAAAATATGCAGGCAATCATTCAAATTTCCATGATTATCTCATAAATGTGTGTTTTTTAAAAAACAAATTTGTCCAAATCAGGATATAAATAGTGCCAGGCATCATATTTGATTTATAGGTATCACAAGACTCACTCTATACTAGCTCTTTCCTCCTGTTTTATTTTTAACCATTTATTTATTGATGCTATTCCTCAGTCCTGATAATATGATCCATCTTTGAGAATACTTTACACAAATTTGTTTTTGCCAAGGGCAATTCTTTTGCTTTAAGACTATCAGTTCTAATTTATATTTCCATTTTAGCTTTTAACATTCAACTTTTTTTCCCAAAAGGGCCTCTTTAAATTCAGTCTATACAAATACTTACATCCCCAATAAAATTTTACTCCCTCTTTCCATCATCTCCTCCCATATAACATCAAAAGTATAAGGCTCCCATCTTCAACTTTATATATGAGAGCTGGAATGTCTAAGCCTTAGTGTTGTCGTGCCATCTCTACTCGTCAAATCCAAAACAGTCTCTCACACTTGCAGTTTTTGATTTAACCAAGAGAGGGCTTAATTCCTAAATTAATATCAAGTTTATTTCTGAGTTTCTCTTAAATGGTCTTTTTCAGTCATGATATGATAGGTTATATGATTATAAATATCCTTATATTTTTAAGAAGTTGTTATCATTTCCTGGATTTCCACTCTCCTATCAAAATATCAAAGTATGCCTTCAAGAATAATTAGTATGTGATGGGGAGGTTTTTCTTGCTCGACTTGTTTGCTTCCTCGTTAACAACTAAAAGCTCTTTCTGAAATCTCTATTATATCCTGTGAATGAGCAGTATGGTGGAATCAGAAAAACATTTGGGTCCAGAGGAGCTCTGATCACAAAGGACAGAGTAAGGCAGTTGCTTGAGAACCACCAGCACAAAGTCATTCTTATTTGTTCCTAAGATGTTAAAGTTAATCTCTTTATTCAAAAGAATGTCTTGGAATCTCACTGCAAATGGCTCAAAATATAACTTTCCCTGTATTAGAAACCCAAAGTCAATACACAGCACAGTTAGGGAATTTATTTAGTCTGATTACTGAGCAATTAATTCAGGTAATTGCACTGTCAGTCTGAAGTAATTGAGATGAAAAAAAATTGAAAATCCTATTAGCACAGCAAAGATTTGAAATCATAAAAGAATCCTGATCATTAAAATATTTTAAAATACTTGTTGATCTTAAAGTCTTAGTTTATATAGAAGATATAAATATAGGCTGAATAAAAGACACCTCCCACCCCCCACCACTTATTCCTTATCTTTTTTTCTCCTGTATTCCAAGGCAGAGTAGTGGAACACAGGCTTTAAATAGAGCTCAGTCTGAATCCAGTTTGCAATTTATAACTAATGGTGTCAATTTTGAAAATCATCTCAAATTTGAAAATGTTTTATATTTATTCATTCCTGCTAGATGCAACACATTTGCTCTAAGACCACAAAAACCTATCAAATTTATTTTCCAATTTAACATTTATCTTTAACATTAGTCTTTTCTCTTCTGCTGATGTATACTCTTTATTATATAATATGCGATATATTATATTTTGCTATTTTTTAATTGGTTGTGACCTTTCTTTTTCACTTTTGTAGATCTGTGGTCAATTCTTGCTCTATGACACACTTTTAAAATGTTTAGCTTTAAAATTCATTTTAAAACTTTATTGCCACAAGGTACAGTGGCTCAAGCCTCTTATCCCAGCACTTTGGGAGGCTAAAGCAGGAGGAGCACTTGAGGTCAGGATTTGAGGCCAGTCTGGGTAACATGGTAAGACCCTGTCTCTACCTTAAAAAATATAAATATATATATTATATATTATTATATATACAATATATTATATATATATAATTTATTTAGTCAGATTACTGAGCAATTAATTCAGGTAATTGCACTGTCAGTCTGAAGTAATTGAGATGAAAAAAACCAAAAATCCTATTAACACAGCAAAGATTTGAAATCATAAAAGAATCCTGATCATTAAAATATTTTAAAATACATATTTAATATTAATATTTAAAATATATAATATATATAGGGTAAGTAGATAATAGATAAGGTAAGTAGATAGATAAATACACTTACTATATATATACACACACACATATATATTTTATATCTATCTACTTACCATATATACATAAATATATATATAAAATATTATATATATTTTATATATATTATATATTGTATATATATATGTAATATATATATACATATATATTTATTACATATACATATATATTTATGTATATATATATATACATAAATATATATATAAAAAATAGTTGGGTAAGCATGTGTGTGTATGTGTATGTGTGTGTGTATACATATATATATAGTAAGTGTATTTATCTATCTACTTACCCTATCTATTTATCTACTTACCCTATATATATAGTAAGTATATATATTTACCATATATATATATATGTATGGTAAGTAGATATATATATATCCACTTACTACAGATTTATATATATAGGGTAAATATATATACTTACTATATATATATATGGTATATATATCTGTATATCTCTATATATCTACTATATATATCTATAATATATATAGGATATATATATAGAGAATATATATATAGGGTAAGTAAATTGATAGTTGGGTGTGTATATATATAGTAAATTTGTGTGTGTCTGTGTGTGTGTGTGTGTGTGTGTGTGTACTTGGTTAAGTCCTATCTTGTTATTCTGCTTTAAATCAATATTCTTAAATATTTTTGCCGTTTTCTTCTCAAGAAAATTATGTTTTCAACAAGTTTGAAAAAAATTCACCAGAATTTTAATTGAAATTGCATTAAGCCTTTTTAATAATTTAAGAGTTGAACAATTTTCAAAGCTCATACTCCTTCAAAACATTGAATGGCTTACTTTTTTTTTAATCTATGTCCCTCAGTAAAACTGTGCTGTTTTCTACATATAGGTCACCCTCATTTTTTATTCAAGGTATTTCTAGAGATTTTGTAATATCGTTGCTAACATAAAGTACATTTTTTAGCATATATCCTAGCTAGTTATTGCTTGTTTATAACTGTGACTATCAACAGAGGAGTTTCATAATTATCAGTGGGTTTATTCAAACTGTATTCATATCACCCTCAGAGATTCTGATACATCTTCTAGAAGAGAGCCTGTATTAGTTCTCACACTGCTATAAAGAATATCCGAGACTGGGTAATTTGTGAGGAAAAGGTTTAATGGGCTCACAGTTCCACATGGCTGGGGAGGCCTCAGGAAACTTAGAGTCATGGCAGGTGAAAGGGAAGCAAGGCATATCTTCACACGGCAGCAGGAGAGAGACAGAGAGCAAAGGGAGAAGTGCTACACACTTTCAAACAACCAGATCTCATGAGAACTCACTGACTATCATGAGAACAGCAAGGGGAAAGTCTGCCCCCATGATTCAATAACCTCCCACCAGGTTGGTCTCTCCTCCAACACATGGGCTTACAATTCGACATGAGGTTTGGGTGGGGACACAGAACCAAACCATATCAGAGCTGTACCCACCCTTACTGATAATATGTCACCCTCAGGATTGGAGAGAAAAGCAATGTTAAGTTGCACTGAAGCAAAACAAGGCTATTGGGTTAAATTTTTTTCATAGAATCATTTTAATATTTTTATTACCTCTAGGAGTTTTTTTAAAAATACAGAACAATTTGTTTTCTAAAACAAAACTCAAGCATTTCCTTGAAAACGAAAAAAAATCACCTCTATTAATCAATTAGCACTCAATCTACTATGTGCAAAAAACCGTGCCAAAAGCTTTTGGAATACGCAATCCTATAGATCTGAACTTTGCCTTTGGTCAGTCAGGTTTGGGTAGGAAGTGGCACTTGAGAGTGGGTTAATTGAGCTAAGCTGAAAATAGAGCACAACATACATAAGAATGTGTATTTTTATTAACCTTATCAACAGTCTGTCCTTCTGAATACAGGCAACATATAAGTGAAAATACGATTGCCGAAGTAGCGTGTTGGGGCAGGAATAAACCTAAATTCTAAAAATTTCAGCCAAACTTTAGCTTTTCTGCATAAGTGTACCTTTTTCTGTTCTCACAAATCAGGTGCGTGTGGGAACCTTATGTTGGCCAAGGATGTACAAATGAATCATGGTCTTAAGGGTGGAAGACACTGGAAAGAGAGGTTTTACTATCTGATGTACTCCTTGGAGACAGTGTCAATAGCCCTCTACTCATTTTCATAAAGTCAGCCATGCCTGCACTTAATAATGGGTTGTCTATAAATGTGTTAACTTCTAAATTGCTACTCTGAAACTTGCAACACATTTTGCTATGAAAATGGTGCTGTAGGTCAGAGCTTTTCAGACTTTACCATGCCCAGAAATCTCCTGGAGATCTTGGTGAAACACAGAGACCCAAGTCCAGAGACCCTGATTCAGTGTATTTGTAGTGCAACCCAAGGAAATCGCATTTTAACAAGCTCCTGCTGCTGCTGGTGCTATGTCCACAGACCACAATTTGAGTAGCACTGCTCTATACAATGGCTGAATTTCTACATCATCTCACCTAAGTCTATTTAAATCATCATATACTACTATGTCATATTAATGGAATCTAAATCTGCACTAGAACTACAACAGAAAACTCCAGGAACATATATCCTTTCCAACTGCAGTCTCAGTTATAATCCCCAATGAAAACACACACTCCTACACCATCACGTGAAGCATTTCCTCCACTTCACAAGGCTTCAATCAACTATCAAAAGAGGCAGCAAAGACCCTGATAGTGACGGCTACTGGGCCCGAGTAGGAAAAAAGGATTTTGGCAACAGGAGAAGTTTAAGAAATATGTATTAGGTGGAGGAGGTGTCAGCAGCTGCCTTACTGAAGGATTAGGCAGGAGAGGAAAGACTCTTGGATTAGGGCTTCTTTTGGTGACTATCAGGTTCCATGGGACTCTAACGGTGAGAGAATGTGGCCACCAATCACAATGAACCCTCAGACAAGTGAAGTGGACCTAGAAGGAAGGAGAAATATAGGATTTCATGATATTGGCTTTCCAGAGTACCGCTCTCCCATTTCTTGTCAACTCAGCGTGTCATCTTTTCCTACCATAGTTAAATATGTAACCTAGATCTTGCCTAAAGAGGAAAGGGGACTGATATTTATTTAATATCTACTAAACATCATGCACTGTGTTAAGCACATTGTATGCATCATCGCATTCACATTTTGTCTACATTTTACAAATGAAAACCTACTGTGGAAAGAGCAAGAGCAGTTTCCTCCCTGACCTGGATGAGTGACTTTAAATAAAGTGCTTAATCTCTCCAAGCACGGGTTCTTCATTTATAAGTGAGGGCAACTATTCATACTTTGTAGGCTTGTACTAAGGACTAAAACATATAGGTCAAATCCTTAGCTCAGTGCCTGGCCCATAGTTGATGTTCAATAAATGGTAGCTACATCACTACAATTACCATAATTGTTTTTATTTCAAAAATTGCCAGAGAAGCTTCCAAAAGCTCAACTACTTTGTAAGCAACTGAGTCAAAATTCAAATCTAGGTGCTTTTTCCCAAACTTCAACTCAAGAATAATCTGCGTATTTGAGTGTGTATGTGTTCACAGTTATATATATATGTGTGTACCTATACAAATGCAATGTTCTTTATGACTTTTGGTTAAAGAACACAGTAATGTAGTAAAATTAATACTGGGCAGGAAATCAGTTCTAACCTTAGTTCTGCTACAAACCTTCAGTCAATCTTAATTTCTTAAAGTGCAAGCTTCCTTTAAATAAAGCAATATGAATACATAATCTCTAAGGACCCCAGGAGCTCTAAAATTCCATAATTCTATGAGGAAATTTCATGGAGCAACTGAAGAGATACAGACAAAGAGGGGAATAAGTGAAAATTTAATATAATTATCAACTGAATTCATTGCTTTTGAAGTGTTCTTATGACACTTATGGAATTGTAAAACTATTGAAAGTTTTATATAGTTTAATCTATTAATGATTTATTGTCATGAATTCTGCCTTAGGTATCATATTTAGAAAGCCTTTTCTCATTCTAATATAAAAATATGTACCTACATTTTCTTTGGGTTTTGATATTGTTCTGTTTGATATTTAAATCCTTAATTTACTTGTAAATTCTTTGGTATTTCAAATGGGGTATTTAGCTTTATTTTGTTTCAAATATTTAGTCAATTTTCTAATGTTATCCAAAAAATAATTCATCCTTTACCCACAAATCTTTCATTTAAAAAAAATTTTTTTAAGAGACAGGATCTTGGAGCTTCTATATAGCTGAATATCTGGACGTTCCTAGAGACTGGGGCACAAGGGAGGGCTTGGAAACTCTGTACCCCTTCTCCCTGCATACCTTTTTATCTTCATGTGATGTGCCAGGCATGGGACACAGTGATTGAAAAGTTGACATAGAGCTTATATTCAAATAAGGGAGAGAGACCATGAATAAGTAAACTGATGATGTCTGAAATGAAAATCCTATGAATAGCTGACCAGAACTCTTACTGGTCAGCTGGTCAGGGCCCAAAAGAAATAGGCTTTCTCATCCACCATGCAGGCCCATGTGGACATGGTAGTGCAAAAGAGAAATAAGGGGCTGGAGTCCCTTGGCAAAGCAGATAAATACCTGCAAACTACCTTTTCAAAATGGAAGCCAGACTGTGACGGTGCCTTTTTTGAATGTGGAAAAGCAGGGCTTCCAAGCAAGCTGGCATGATGTTGAAGGAGATGCAGAAACAACCAGTCTGCGTGATGTATCGAGAAAACAGCACCCCTGACCCAGCAACCTCAGAAGTGGTGGAGCAAGCTGGAAAGCTCATAGAAAATGTAGATCCAGAAAAGGCTGTACAATTGTATCAATAAACAGCAATGTGTTTGAAAATGTGCAATGCCTCAACAGGCAGTTGAACACTTAGGAAAAGCTTCAGGACTGCTAGTGTAAAGATGCAGGATTGATGGGGGAGCACTTTCTATTCAGAAAGAAAAATATTTTTAAGGAAATGGAGAATTATTCAACTGGTTATAAGAAAAGAGTCGCTCAAGTCTTATTTCACTTACACAGTAATGACTATGCAGCTGGGACAGTGGTGGCAGGAGAGCTCCGGCATAGCAGGAGTCCATGGAGGTGATGGCTGAGCTGTACTGGATCAGCTCCCAGAAGGGTTTGCCCAGCAAGACCAAGCTGCATTTCAGAGGTCTGCAACTCTCCACTTTTCAAGCATATTGGCAATGATTATGCTAGCCCCAGCCTGAGTTTAGGGGTTCCAGAATGGGACATCAATAAATCATCAGGAATGGTTTGCACAGCCACATGAATGTACTTAATGACACATTAAGTGTACACTTAAAGGGGGTTAAAATGATTTATTTTATGTTGTGTGTATTTTACCATAGTAAAAAAAATTAAGAAGAAGGAATAAGAGGAAGAAGAGGAGTTGGAGAGAAGAAGAAGAGGAGGAGGAAAAAGAAGAGTTAGAAGAAAAAAGAGGAGAAACAGAAGGAAAAGAGGAGGAGGAAAATGGGGGAAAATTAGCAACACCAGTCATGGCTGGTGGCATCACCTCCATGGCTGCTGTTAAGGAAGACAAATATTCAGGACTATGCTAGTATTTTGCTTTGCAAATAAATAAATAATACATAGATAACAGAAAAAGTATCACATGGCGTTTCAGGGACTTGGAATTTGTTTAAGAGTATTCCATACTTCATTGTAGCCACGGTTTGAATGCTAATACTCTAATTTTTAGTTATTAATTCCCCAAATTAAAAAAAAAGCCAGAGACAGACCTCACTCTATTACTTATCCTGTAATGCAGTGGCACCATCATAGTTCACTATAGCCTCCAACTCCTGGGTTTATGCAATCCTCCCACTTTAGCCTCTTGAATAGCTGAGGTTACAGACATGCACCACCATGCCATGCACCACCACTCCAAGCCTAGATAACTTTCTTTTTTTGTATCTTTTTTTTTTTTGGTAGAAATGGAGGTCTTGCTATATTGCCCAGGCTAATCTTGAACACGTGGACTCAAGCAGTTCTCCCATTTTGGCCTTCCAAAGTGCTGGGACTATAGGCATGAGCCACCACACCCGGCCTACCCACAAATCTTAACCAACCTTTATTGTGTTCTAAAGTCTTGGCATTAAAACGCATTTTATATTGGAAGATTTCATTATATTATTCTACCTTTGCACAGCTAGAATGAGCCCTACTTGGTGGATTATATTTGCTAATACTTAGCAATAATGCATCACAATTTATAAGTAAGCATGGTCTGTAGTTGTTTCTAACCTTCTAAATTTTTTAATATCAGGATTATTCTAGCCTGTCAGGTGCATTAGAAAATTTCATTTTTAAATCCCCCTGTAATAGATTAGATAGCATAAGAATTGTCTATTCCTTGATGACTTGATAGAACTATAATCTATAACCCCTTTAAGCATGAATTTTTCATGAAGAGATGTTTTATTGTCTTTTAAACTCAATGATTTCTTCAGGTTTTTTTTATGACCTCTGGAGTTAATGTTGATCATTTATTATTTCCCAATAAAGCCTTCCATTTCATCCAGAGCGTTTGTAAAGCTGATATGCATTAAGAATCTCTAAGAGCACAAAGTAGTTTTTTTAAACTTTTTTGTTCAAGAATATGTTGCTGTTTAATTCATTCTTTTGTACAAATATTTTTCTAAGTTAGGCACTTTGAAAAATGCTAACACACTGTCTTAAAGCATTCTCTTAAATTTGTTTTCAAATTATCTCTGCACAAAGAATTAAATTCCTTTTCTTAGTCTGAATCTTGTATATTACTTTTTCTGTTATAATTGTTAGTATTTATCCAAAGAATTATCTCTTGAACATATGTATTAATTCTTCTATTTTCCTAGATATTTTTTCTTTTAAAATATGAATTCTTAAAGACAGGCATTATAGACAACCAGTCTGTGGAGAAAATATTTTGAGAGGAGGAGGAATTTTATTTTGCCTCCTTCCATTTTATAGGAGGAACAGATTTATACCCTGTTTACACATGTAGCTTATTGGATAATAACATGAACGAATAATATTGACTTAGAAACTTTATTTGGACTAAGTTATAAATTGTATTTCTTATTATACAATAATGGGAATATAATTTCTACATTCCAAAACATGTACAGGTAGCCATTTGGACTATGAGACCTACAACAAAATATCAAGTATCTACATAGTACGGCAACCAGGCATTTGGTGCTCTATGAATTAAAGGTCTCAATGAAGGGCTATACATTATATTATTTAGACTTCATCTGCAGGTTCTCTAAGCATGTTATAATTTCTATGAATTTCAGTTTCCATACCTGTAAAATGGAGATTATACACCTACTGTGCAAAGTTTGGGTAACAATTAGAGTTAACAGATAACCTGTCTCAAGACCCTTTTCCCAGTAGCTGTGGCCTCTTAAAGCCCCTACAAAATTTGAAGAAGAGATCTTTGGGCCTTGCAAAATCCTAGGTAATTTCACTTTATCAAAAGCCAAAGCATGTGAGTGTTTTAACTCATCTGAATCATAAAATAAATCATTACGAAGAGTTAACAGTCCTTGGATTAGAATAAACTACCTTTCATTGATTTCAAAGTGCATTTTTGTTTTACATTTTTGTATCTCTACTCAGAATGCTCCTTAAAATTGATGATGTCTTAAAAATATAACTGACATTGCTTTTCTTGTCTAGGAGTATGTAATACAATGGTACATTTTACAAATGAGGACATCTTAGGGTAAAAACATACTGTAATACCTTCCTCAGTTGTTTTCCAATTTACCACCCCCTTCCTAGGAAAATCCACACGCCTTAATGAATTGCTACAGTCATTAGCAAAGGGAGTAAGTTTTGATGTTTGTCTTGTCTGTGGGCCTTGTTTCCCTCTGACTCATAAGCTCTAATATACTCCAGCCATTCAAAATACCAGGTCCACATACATAGGTGCACTTACAAAAGGTCCTCATTGCACACCATTGAAGAATCACATACCCTAAATTCGAGATTTTAAACCTCAGATACAGATAGCCTAGGTCCCTACCAACAGTCTCACAAAAAATGCAAACCTCAGGGGATGGTACTCCAAAGTAATTAACCAAAACAAGAGTAGTTGTTATGCAAATACCAAGGAATTTAATCTCCTTAAGAAAACAATAAATTCCTGGTTCAGACCTAAAGGCACAAATTTTAAAATGTGTGTAGATTACAGACTCAGCTCAGCTCCATTCTAAAAGATGCATTCTCTATAAGACCTCCCTAACACCTGGAATACAAGCAGCTGGGTAAACATCCTGGCCATGCAGTATGGGCAGCATGAGTCAGTTAGAGGGCAAGGTTCTTTCTCTTGATCCGCCCACATACCTTGGGGGTGTTAGAAGCCTTGATGGAAGTAGGAGATGAAGTGTTTCATGGAAAAACACCTACTTCCGCATGATAAGGCAAGGAGAGGGAGTGAAAGAGAAGATGGGCCCTACCCTTCTGCAGGGCCCTAAAGCCACTACCAAGACAGGAGAAGGGAAAGCCCCTTTATTTTGTGTCCTGGGATTGGAGAAATAATTTTTTAAAGACCCTAAAATCATAAATATTACTATACAAGTATGTGTGTAAACAGAGATGGATTTCTGTTCAATGAATTAAATCATAAATGAAAAGAGAAATGGCTAGGCGTGGTGGCTCATGCCTGTAATCCCAGAACTTTGGGAGGCCAAGGCAGGTGGATCACTTGAGGTTAGGAGTTTGAGACCAGCCTGGCCAACATAGTGAAACCCTGTCTCTACCAAACAGAAAAATTAGCCGGGCATGGTGGTGCACACCTGTAGTCCCAGCTACTTGGGAGGCTGAGGCAGAAGAGTCACTTGAGTCCCGGAGGCAGAGGTTGCAGTGAGCTGAGATCGCACCACTGCACTCCAGCCTGGGCCACAGAGCAAAACTACGTTAAAAAAAAAAAAAAAAAAAAACGAAAAAGAAAAGAGAAATGACAGATTGACAGAAATAGACTAGCAAACTGAGTGGGAAATGAATACTCAGCACTGTTGATGGAAGTGCATAGCCTATTTCTGGAATAATCCGGAAATATATAGTAAAATTGATCAACCATATGACCTATGACCAAAAAATTCTCATTCCTAGATGTATGGCATGCACACTATTCCATCGTGGGGCATATAAATGCTGACATATTTAATGGTGCAGAATTTAAGGGAATGAAATTATCGGTCATTGGGGAATAGGACAGTTTAAAGGTGGAGGTTTTACAGTAAGAAGTAACAAACAACATATGCTTAATGCAACATGTTGGATTCTCACAAGCCAGGCCTGCTTTATAGATGTGTGAAATATGCAACTCTAGAGGATTAGAAGGTGTGGTTAGAAGGCCCTCACACTTAGACACTTTGTTGTCATCATCTTTAAATTATTATTCATAAGAAGTCCCATATTTAAAATTTGGCACTGGGCCCCACAAATTATGGAGACAATCCAGTTCACAGGCATAATGTACAGTAAGAAAAGTAGGAAACAATGAGATTTATAATAAAATAATATATGAAAATCTCATATATGCTATATACTTTACAGTGATATGGTCACTCTTTAGGATAAACTAGAGATTGAATGAAAGTAGGGATCAGGGACAAAGGTCAAAATAAATTAAATAAAATTTATAAAAGAATAAACAAAGCAGTAAAGGGTCCTTATATGGATGAATAACCCATTCAGTGTAAAAGTGCCCCAAACTACAATGATTTGGATTTCCTGTGGGTAGGAATGCATTGCAGAAAATGTTTGGCAAAATAGTTCAAGATCAACTATGTAATAATTGAAAATTCCATCGTTTCTTTTCTTTTTTCCCCAAGAATATCTGTGTTTTCTAGTATAGAAATGTTTGTATTTGCTAGCATAGACTAGATTCCAGCAGTTTGTATATTGCCAAAACATGAACTATCTTTCCAGTTGCTATGTTTTATTTCAGAGACTCAAATTGGCATGCCAGTAGAATGTACTACATTTTAAGTGGAATTATACATTAAAAATATAAGAATATAAAACGTTTCTCATAAATCAAGTAAATCTGTAAATAATTAAGTGGTTGAAACTATTATAGTAATGGAAGCAAAGCCAATTCCAACTACAATTTCCAATCAAACTGACTCTAATGGAACCTAATTAGTAACTGACACAATCCAAAGAAACTTGAAGGTATTTAAACTAACCTCATGCCACTAAGTCCTACCTGACTAAAATGCACGTTCTGATACAAGTGTGTTTGCAATTCTTTCCTATGCTCTGCGTGTATATAGACATGTCTGAACCAATGATGAAAATTCAGGAAATAATTCAGGAATACTCTTCCTCTTCAGATTACTTTGAAGCATGGAAAATATTAGTTTTGAGATCATTTTAGAAATTTGGTTGTTTTAATTTACCCAAACTGGACTTGTAATTACCCTTGTAATTTTCGATAATATAAATGCCCACTACTGAAAATAGAGCTCTATGCAGTTCTGGAATTCCAGATTATCTGATTTCAAACTTTCATGGAGTGCAGACACAAGACAGCTTACATGGCAAGAAAGAGATTGGTTGGAGAGTAGAAAAAAAAAGCCAGTTTTGTTTTTGTTTATTTGCCTTTAGCTAGCTAGAGATCTTGAAAGAATTGGATATACTATTTCCTACCAATTCTAATGCCCAATTTACATACCAAGGTAAAAGAAATTCAGAAAAGCCAAAGCAATAATTGACAATGTGGTAGCATTAGAAGTGATGCAGCTGGATGAGGCAGGAGGATGTGGCATTTTACAGAGATGCTCGTATGACTGGGGTCATTTCATCCACCCTTGGTGGAAATTATTTTCTAAGTAGAGAGTCTCAGATTCTGCTGAGAATCTTCCAATTCATCTGACCCTTGAGGCATGGAACATGAGGATTGGCTTGGCAGGAGTGAGAATTTTAGTCTCAATCACATTCTTTTTCATCACTGGCTAAGAACTCACCTAACAAGTTTACCTTAGTAGCATCTGTTATATTTGAAACCATGATTAATCTGCTTCCAGTTGAGAAATTTCTAGTTGCGCCATCTTTTGAGCTGTTTAAAACAGAGCATGTTCCACTGACAGTTGCCTCTGGAAGGATCTGGAATGCACCTGAAGCTCCCAGGACTTGAAGACAGACCTCCAAAGACTTGGATCAGGTAATGACTTTTCATCTATTTGCAGAGCCTGGATCATAGTGTATTAGTGAGACATAGGAAACCTTCAGAGGGACAGAACTTTACATGTTGATGATGAATATTGTATTTTGATTCTATCAGGTTAAGCAAGATACAGCAAGAGTATAATGTGACAACTTCAGATGGAGAGTCTTCTAGGTATGTTATGACAAGTTTTCCCTTTCAGAAAGCTGCAGCATCTAGAAAGCAGACATCACTATATTTGAACCTCAGTGAGAGGAGGTATCACAAGTCTACACTTGGAAAAATCTAGCAATAAATAATTTTATGAACCTCTCTTTTGAGTCTTGCATCTAGGGGTTTGGGAAATAATGTTTGGATAATGTTCTCAAAACCATTTACCATTTTTTAGGAAGCCCTTTATGTTCTCATTCCAATGGCCTTGAGTATGAATATTCTTTTTTATGATCAGGGTCATCTGCAGGGGAATATGAAGCAAAGTGACTGTCAAGAGTGACACAACTGCTTATGAAATCAATCATTTGTGGAGGACACACCATTCTCTTTTTCTGCTGCTTTGTAATAAATAGTTTGACTGGGAGAGGAGTGAAAATGTGGTTCACATTAATGTAGATGATATTTAAGAGTATCATGCTCCTGTCACCCTTTAAATTGCAGACCTGATTGGAAGCTAGAAAGATGAAGATGAGTCAACTGGATGGACTAATATTCCCTCTAGACATAGAGAGATTAAATAATTATTCTTTAATTCTATGTGTCAAAGCCAAACTGTTATTTTTTGTTTGTTTTTACAAAATAGTTATCCTTTGTTTTCTTTTTCTAGAAATAAGAAAGCAGTTTTTACCAGGCTTTCTTTGTGTCTGAAAACAGAAACCAACTCAAATATATAGCACCTTGGCATACTTAGCACTTCAGGCTGTAAATATGAGAGTATGGAACTGAGTTTTGGAATAACAATATGAAGTTAAAGTGCCATTTTACTCTAAAATGACTTGGTTTCATATTCCTTCACTGGACTATCCTGTCTCTCCCTTACTTTGTAAGGACATTGAGGGAAAAATTATTTCCTTCACTGCTCTTCCTTTGTGGTTTATTTTATTTAATTTTTGCCTTTAATTTGAAGGAACAATCTTTCAGACCCTATTTTACCAGGCAGGACAAGTGTTTTGTCCTTCATATTATCGAAGACATGTGAAATATAATGCTCTTTAAATGTTTGTTATTCATTTTTTTCTGCCTTGGCATTTTATTTCCCATTTATCCCAAGACTCTTGTTCTTTTCTGCTTGCCTCTAGGCTTAGAGCACAGAGCTACTGGCCTCTTAACCTATTTGAAAATTCCATCAAAGTTGCCTAGTCTTTCTTCCTGATTCAAATGTGCTAGGTGTTTAATTCTCAAATCTACAATTTTTAGGACTGGATATCCTATTAGGTAAAGATTTCCTTTCATTCACTTGTTAATAGTCTCCTCAGTCTTCCTGATTCATTGTCTTTCACCCTGTGGGTGGGGGAAAAACAGGGAAGCAATTTAAATCTAGTTTCTGACTAACCTGACCACTAATAGTTGTGAGTCACTCTGTTTTGGTAAGAGGTTAAAAGTATTAGAGCTTTATGAAGGATGCTGAGGTAGGAGCAAGACAGATCCTAAATCTCTGTAAACACCCAGTGGGTTTTTAGATTTAAAATGTCAGATAAAAAGGAAAAATGTGGCAGATGCAAAAACATTCTAATTGATAAACAACAGTCTTCTGGCAAACCCAGTCATTTGTATGGCTGCCAAGAATCTTTTAATAAACAAAAACTATGCGATACTGCTGAAATGATTATTACAAGATGGAAGTACTAAAACTTCTGAACTTTGCCCCTAAGAAGACATCTAGGACATTTACTCACAGGTCATTGAGTTTAAATTTATACATAATTATTTCTAAATGTCATAACCTTTGCTATTATTATAAGGATGATTCAAGCTAATAAATTCATCAAGAAAAATATATAACCAATAAGTAAATTAGTGGAAGAGAGAAAATGTTTATTCCCAGTGACCAAATATAACCATTTTCATTTTGGAGTAATTCTTCTAGTCTTTTGAAGACCATACTTTTTTGTTTATTTGTTTTAGAAGTTTAAAAACAATAAAAATTTAAAAATATATAACAGTTGCTTAAATATTATTTTTGCTTCTATAGTCCCAAAGTTTGCAAAACTCTGTAAGTGACTGCAAATTTTTAGGTTGGCATATAAAATTTATGTCATATTTTTAAATCATTGCTAAGGTGCACTTTATGGCACATTGTAAATATTAATAGTTTAAAATTAAATTGCTACACAATTTTCAAAATGAATCCAATAGAATAATGATTTGATGCCTAATATCATCCATTTAAAAATTCCCTTAATGAATTTAAAGTTTTACATCTTTTATTTTTCTCTTTCTATTCATATTCTCATTCCAGTCATTTCTACAGATGTTTTACATATTCCTACAAATATATTTTAATATAACATATTTGTGTTATTATTTCTTTTATTGATCAGTAGATTATTCTCTGCAACTAAAAGGTCCATATACATTAAAACTTAAATTGTTTTCATTTCCTGTGACCATAAGGTTGCATTTTGTAAAAAGTTTTTAATGATGTGTGATTTTAATTTTTCTTTGTATATAATTGTCCAAAGGATCATAACACATTAAAAGTTTAATGAAAAATGATTAAGCATTAGGAGTAAAACTTTATTGGTGATGCTTTTCTTAATGACGTAAATAGATCTTTGCCTTTTAAATTCTGCATCCATTGATGATGATTATTTATTGACAGAATGAAACAAAATTCATCATCAATTCTTTTTCATTTTTTGAATAGATGTGAGTGCTGAGAAACCATGTTTACATAATGCCACAATTTTTTGAACTCTTTATGAAGCTCTGTGTCACAAATCACATAGTGATGCATCAACAAAAATTATTTTATTTTTTTATTATACTTTAAGTTCTGGGATACATGTGCAGAATGTGTAGGTTTGTTACATAGGTATACATGTGCCACGGTGGTTTGCTGCACCTATCAACCCGTCATCTACATTAGGTATTTCTCCTAATGCTATCCTTCTCCTTGTCCCCCACCCCCCGACAGGCCCCAGTGTGTGATGTTCCCCTCCCTGTGTTCTCATTGTTCAACTCTCACCTATGAGTGAGAACATGCGGTGTTTGGATTTTTGTTCCTGTTAGCTGGCTGAGAATGATGGCTTCCAGCCAAGACACAAAAATTATTTTTTATGATCTATCTACTAACCACTCAAGTGCATCCTCTTTCTATTTTTTTTTTTTTAAGCAAAGAATTCGAAACCGACTTGCAGAAGTTAAATGCCCTTGGAAAGGGACTGCTATTTTATTAAGGTCAGTTCCTTTCCCAATACCAATGTCAATATTGTCAATTATTCTCTTGTTAGGGAGTCTCAGCCATTTATACAGCCTAGAACAATTCACATCGTAAGATTCAGGAAAGGAGAGGGTTGGGCTTTTCCTTTGCAAAGTTAGAAAAGGAGACCCTGCTTCAAACCAGAAATTCTCAGGCCAAATTAGTATTACAAAAGAGTGTAGATGAGAGTCAAAGGTCTAGAATTTCATTCTTTTAAAACTAGGTATGTGCCTATGTATTTCTTGAAAGTTATTGTATACTCTATAGACTATTGGTATATACAATTCTTTTGCCCAACAACTTTTTCCTCTATTTAACATAATGTTATAAGTATGCTTTCATGTTTTTATATAGTCTTTAAAATAATTTAATGGACTTATCTACAAGATTAAATTAATATATTATAGTTTATTTTAAAATTCTCTTGTAATTGAAAACATGTTTTTAATTTTTATTACAAATAACAAGAATTAAAGCAATCTTGTACAAAAAGATCCCTCTCCAAGTTGAGAATTTATCTTTTTAGCATGTATTTATTGAGTGGAACTACTGGGATATAAAATGTGGATGTTCTTTAAAATTCCTAGTAATTACAGCAATATGTCAAATAAGTTTTACTAGTTTACACCAGCACTAGTAAATGTTGAAAACACCTGCTTTGCAACAGTTTCCAGTTTCCTTTTAATTGTGGTATAATTACATTCAGTAAAATGCACAGATCTGAATTGTACAGTTTGATGAATCTTAGCAATTACCCCAGTCAAAATTTGCCCTAGAACCAAGCAAACACTATTGTGATTTCTATTCCTATGAATTAGTTTTATCTGTTTTTGACCTTTACAGAAATTCAACCGCAGAGTATGCACTCCTTTGCGCTTTTTTCATTCGGCATAACGTTTGTGATATTTATCCAGGCTGTTGAATGTGTCGATGAGTAGTAAGCATTCCATTACATAAATATAACATGATTATGTGTCCATTCTACTACTAATGGACATTTGTATTATTTTCAATAATTTGCTATTTGTGAATAAATCTTCAGCGAACAATCTTGCAAACCAATATTTTCTTTTATTTTAAGCAACTACCTAAAGGCAGAATTGCTATCTCACAGGATTTTCAGAAACTGTTAGAGTTTCTGAGAGTCACTGTGATATTATAAACTATAAATATATATCCCATCATCAATATATGGAAAGGTCCAGTAGCTCCTCATCTTCCCCAACATTTGGTGCAGTTGATGTTAGCTAGTCTAGTGAGTATGCAGTAGTATCTCTCTAGGGTTTAACTTTGCATTTCTTTCTGATGACTAACAATGTTGAACATCTTTTCTTGTGTTTATTGACCTTCCATCTATTCTCTTTTGTTTACTGTCTGTCCAAGTATTTTGTCCATTTTTTAAATTTAATTTTTTTGTTGTTATTTATTTCTGGAGTTCTTGAAATTTCCTAGAGTCCTTTATCAAATATCTGTTGCAAATATTTTCCTTTTGTCTGTGAATTGTCTTTTTATTTTATTATTGCATATATTTTAATGTGAATAACGTGATGTTTTGCTATATATATATGTAGTGAAATGGTTACTATAGTCAAACAAATTAACGTATCAATAATCTTACCTAGTTACCCTTTGTGTGCGTGGCAAGAGCGCTTAAAATGTACTCTTTTAGCCAAAATTCCAAGTACAATACAATAAACTATAGCCCTCAAGTTGTACATTAGCTGTTTTGTTTCTTCTCTTTTCCTTTGCTTTTTGAGACAGTCTCACTCTATCACCCAGGCTGGAGTGCAGTGGCACAATCTCGGCTCACTGCAACCTCCACCTCCTGGGTTCAAGTGATTATCATATCTCAGCCTCCTATGAGTAGCTGGGATTACAAGCATGCACCAACATGCCTGGTTAATTTTTGAATTTTTAGTAGAGATGGGGTTTTACCATGTTGGCCAGGTGGGTCTTGAGCTCCTGGCCTCAAGTGATCCACCTGCCTTGGCTTCCCAAAGTACTGGGATTACAAGCGTGAGCCACTGTGTCCGGCCTATTTTTTTGATGATGTTTTTGAAGAACAGAAGTTTTTTATTTTAATAATTTTTTAATCTTTTTTTTGCTTATGGTTAGTTGTCTACCCCAAACGTGTAAAGATATTATTCTTTGTTATCTTCTAACAACTTTGTACTTAAGCTTTTAGTTTTAGATTTGCAATCTGAGGTATATTTTTGTATCTGGTTTGGGAAATGTATCAAGGTTACTTTTTTCAAAATTGATTTCCAATTGTTCCTGCAGGAATAATTGTTGAAAATACTTTCTCATTGAAATACATTGAAACCTATGTCAAAAGTTATTAAACAACATATAATTTAATCTGTTGAGTCTGTTGATGTATAAACAAAGTATATCTCTCTATGTATTTGGATTTGTTTTGTAATTTTCAGTGTAAAGATTTTACAGATCTTCTGCTCAATGTATTTCTCATTATTTTGATTTTTGTTAGCATAGCAAGTGTAGTGCAATGATGACTCTGAACTCTCTCAGTTGAAATCATATTTTACCACTTTTTAATAGATAAAATTTTACAATGTTTCAGTAATTTTTTTAGCTAAAAAGAACTAAAACTAGCTATGACAGCAACAATAAAAATGACTGGTAACAATGCAAGTAAGCTTCATTTACCTACTTACTATTCATGCACTTATTCAGCAAATCCATACTGTGGACCTACCATAATGTGGACCTAACATTTACCTGTTAATGGCCTAAATTCTCATACATGCTGAACAGATAAGGTGTCTATTGTAAATATAGTACTGCTCCCTCCCATATTCTTTGTGAAAGTCATATCCTTGTTCCAGATAATGTTTTTTTTTATTAATTCCAGGCTCCATACTCTGAATCATCTGAGCCACTTCTCATTAACACATACATCAGCTTAGCCTAATTATAGCTTTTGCAGGGATTTATCTGAGCTGATGTATCTGTACTGTTTCCATTTACTTTTCTGCTTATTTTCTTCAGAGAACAGTCCTATTTAAAATGAAAATGCTAGTGTGATTCTTACTGTTACCATGGGAAGAAGAGAGAGAAAGAGAAAGCTTTGAAATAGTGCATTGCAATAGTCCATAATTTCTTTCTCTTGAATAAAGAGTTTTATTTTGTTTTTAACCAGAGGGTCAGATATAAGGAAACTGAAAGAAAAGATGACCAACTTCTTTTGAATAAGATTTTCAGCCTGTAACTCTATATTAGCTATAGGTTACTGGAATTTCATGAAATGTATGCATCCTGGTAGTCATTTAAAGAAATGAAATACATGGGATACTCCATCATCACACAGGAGACACAGTATAGAGAGGTGGTTACATCTGTAGACTCTGGGATCAAACCAATCAGATACAAATATCGCTATAGCAATTTCTAGCTATGTGAATTTAGCTAACCTACTTACCCTCTCTTTGCATGAGTTCCACTTTCTGTACAACAAACCAACAAAAAGAGGATAATAGAGATAATAATAGTAGCACCTACCAATAGAGTTGTTTGTAACTTAATTCTTATAAATCACTTTTTAAAGTCAACGCCATATAGTTATTTCCAATTGTTATTATATGTGATAGATACCAAAAATTATAGCTGTTATTGTCCTAATTGCATTTTGATTTTTTGTTGTATTACCATAACAGTGTTTTTATTTCTGGCGACTAGAAAAAAAGAGGGATAAACTTTCAAAGCAAGAAAATACAGTTCTGAAAGAAGCATAGTTTTATGAACTATCTACTTTATCAGCATAAGAAAAAACAATTGCTTTTTAAATATTAGCTTTGTATCTTAATACTTTTCTCTGTATTCATCTATTAGATATAGTGGGTTTTGTGTAGACTAGTTAGGATTTTCTATGTGCATCACCACACCATGTAAAAATAAATTTAGGCTGGGCGTGGTGGCTCACACCTGTAATCCCAGCACTTTGGGAGGCCGAGGTGGGCGGATTACCTGAGGTCAGGTGTTTGAAACCAGCCTGGCCAACATGGTGAAACCCCATCTCTACTAAAAATACAAAAATTAGCCAGGCGCAGTGGTGGGCACCTGTAATCCCAGCTACTTGCAGGGCAGAGGCAGGAGAATCACTTGAACCCAGGAGAGGCTCACTGCAGAGGTTGCAGTGAGCCAAGACCATGCCATTGCACTCCAGCCTGGGTGTCAGAGCAAGACTCTGTCTCAAAAAAATAAAAATAAAAATAAAATAAAATAAAATAAATTTAGTGTTGTTTCTACTTTCCCATCTTTGTTGTTGTTGTTGTTTTCTCTTTCGATTTATTTTATTTAATAGCACCTCCAGTATCACGGTAAATGGAGGTGATAAGAAAGACATGCTTTCTCTTGTTTCATTCTTAAGGTGAAAGTATTCAATATGTTAGCATTAATTATAATTGTACCTGGAGGATATTTTATAGAATTCCTTCATCTGATTGAGTTCCTTTTCATTTCTATTTTCCTAAAAATTTTTTATTATAAAGTGGTGTTGAGTTTTGTCAAACGTACTTCCCAATTTTAAAACTGATCATTTTAAACTATTTGCTCCTTTGATTAATTTCCATATTATTCTAATAACCTTGGCTCCAATTTATCCATCAGAACACTAAGAATAGTTTGTCAAGAAGGGTTGTATGCTAACAACTTCAGGGACACATGAACAACTTCAGTGTTATAACTCTGTAAAATCGTCGATGAGTGTAATAATTTCTTCCGCATATTAGATAGGATGCTCACCAATGAAACTATGTGGATCTGTAATTTTTGTCCATGCACGTGGAAATATTTTATAAAACAAATTCAACTTTTAAAGTAGATATAGAAATGTTCTTTTTCTTCTGGAAATGGTTTTTTAAGTTGTGTTTTTCAAGGAATTTGTCTAGTTAATATAATTTATCAAATTTATTTGCAGTTTTCAGAATATTCTCTTATTTTATTGTTTGTATTGTTAATGATATGTACTATTTTATTTCTGATATTGGCACATATTGTAGCTCTATTTTTCCTTGATTAGTTTTGTTAGGGTTACTTGATTTTTATTAATTTTTTCCAAGGACCAACTTTTGGCTTTATTAATTTTCTCTAATATGTTTATTTATTTTATTATTTCCTCTTTATTATTCCTCTCCTCATACTACTTTGATATTAATTTGATTCTCTTTTTCTAACTTTTTATGGTAGAAACTCAGATAATTGATTATAAACTTTTTTCTAACACTGGCAGTTAAATCACTAAATTTATTTCTAAGCAGTACTTTGGCTGTATGTCAAATTTTGATATGTCATGTTTTATTATCATTTAGTTGCAAATATCTTCTATTTTCCATTTTTATTGCTTCAGTTTCTATGGGTTCTTTAGGCATGTTCTGCAAATGTCAATTATAACAAATTGGTTAATAGTGCTGTTCAGGTTTTCTATATTTCTATATTATTTCTGTCTAATTTTTCTGCCAATTATTGAAAGAGATATGTTGAAACATACAGCTATGAAACTGAATAATTACCTGTATCTCTATCAGTTTGATCTTCTCATATTCTGAAGTTCTATTATTGGATGCCTACATATTTAGGGTTGTTTTATCTTCCTGATGAATTGACTTTTGTCTTCTAGATGAATTAACATTATGAAATATCTCACTTTGACTCTGATAATGTTCATTGTCTTGAAGCCTACTTTGTCTGTTATAAATTTGACAGCTTTCTTATTCTTACTGCTTGTATGATATATTTATTTCTTTTACTTTCAACCCATTTTCCTTTACATTTAAAGTGTGCTTTTGTTGAAAGTACATAGTTGGGCCCCGCTTTTTTTATACATATTATAGTCTGACAATATTTGCCTTTTTTTAGAGTATTTTCTGTATTAGCATTTAATGTAATTTTTGGTACAGTTTTGTTTAAATCTGCCATTCTGATCTTTCACTATTTGTTTTCCACTTGTCCTCTTTCTTCCTTTTCTTTCTTTTTTCTTTCTTTCTGTTTCTCTTTCTTTCTTTCTTTCCTTTCTTTCTCTCTCTCTTTCTTTCTCCTTCCTTCCTTCCTGCTTTCCTTCCTTCCTTGCCTGTTTTCTGCCTTATTCTAGGATAATAAAATATTAGCATTCTGTCATGATTCCTCTATTGAGTTTTTAAAATATGCCTACCTCAAGATTGCAAATTTGTACCCTATTATCTGATGACTGAAAACAATTGACTTGTATATTTGATCTAGTGAGAGAACTAGTCTTGTATGAGTTACACCACCATATTTGGAAGTGGAAGTTTTTCATTATGGTTTCTCAAATGGATATTTAATATGATAAAATGATTTTGTAAAAATTAATCTTTTGGCAACATACATAACGATTCGACTCATAAAGACTCAAAAATGAAAAACCAGGCAGGAGACCAGTATAATGATATAAGATATTAGGAATTAGATACTAGACTAGATAGGTAATAGTAATAATTGAAAACTTTTTAAAAAGAATGACAGAGAAAAGAGATAATTGAGCAAAGTTTTGAAAAGGAGTTTGAAAATATTTGAAAGAATATCACTATTTATTAAGAGATTGGCAATAGAGTTTGAGGAAATCAGAGAATTCAGGAAAATTTCTTTTTTTTTTTTTTTTTTTGAGACAGAGTCTCATTCTGTCATTCAGGTGGGAGTGCAGTGGCCCGATCTCGGTTCACTGCAACCTCTGCCTCTCGGGTTCAAGTGATTCTCCTGCCTCAGCCTCCCGAGTAGCTGGGACTACAGGCGTGTGCCACCACAACTGGCTAATTTTTGTATTTTCAGTAGAGACAGATTTCACCATGTTAGCCAGGCTGGTCTGGAACTCCTGGCCTCAGGTGATCCACACGCCTCGGCCTCCCAAAGTGCTGGGATTACAGGCATGAGCCACTGAGCCTGGCCAGAATATAGGAAAATTTCAGTTTCCAGCTTTCAAGATTGGGAGGATACAGATTCTGGAATTGAAATAAAAGAGGAATTGAAAAAGAAAAAGAGAATAATTCTATTTGAGGGGATACTGGATTAAAGACTGCAAAAAGAAATCAAAGTGGAAGTATCCTGAAGGCTTGAGGGAATATGGAATTAGAGGTTCACATGTGGGATGTATGGATTTGGATTTTTTTTTCTCACCTAGGGAATATATGAAAGTATGTGATTAGTGAGAGATACTTGAGAGAATGAGTTTGGGGAGAAAGAAAGAGTGAGCAGCAGACAGATGATAAGATGCTGTTGGATCAAGGAGAATGGGGAAAGAGACCAGTGCATGTAGCTAGCAAAGGGTGGAGCTGGGAGTCAGAACACCAGAGATGAAGAAGCGGATGGGTGACTAGGAGACAGCAGGAGAGATCCCACATGTTTGATTCCAGGATTTGTCTGTTTTGTCATCCAGTTCATTTAAATAGTAAACATAGGGATGAGCTCTCAAACCATCTGCTAAATACCTGGTTGTGAATACCAGATTCCTTTGGAATGTCTCTCTGCTCCCTTCTAGATCTTTTCATTCAAATGATTGTAAAGGAAAGGTTCGTCTTGGTCCTTAACTTTGCTTGAGTTATTTTAGAAACATAGCAGAAGATATTCACCTTCTACTCTTGGGTTTTTCTGTAAAGAAGATGCATCCTGCCTTATATTCCGGTATTTTCTATTTTTTTATGATTTAGTTATGCTGTCTTTAGCATTATTTCTTTGGAACTTTGCAACAACCTCATGAGGAAGGTGGCATAGGCATTTTTAAGGTCCACGTGTTTTCCCAGATAGGAAAAGAAAGGCCCACACTATAGGTCTTCTGTTTTTCGGACTCTTTTTCTAGAATTCTTTCATTAACTCCCAGTAACTCTCCTAATTGTGCATTGTGATAGAGAAGAGGATAATAAACTTTTCCTCCTCAGCACACAGTTGGGAAATAATGATGTACCATCTGATCTACAGACAAAAATAAGCTGAATGCACAATTGCCATAAAATTCCTGCTAATATCTCATCTGGAAATATATAGAAATATATTACTCAAGACCAGCCATTCCATTGTTTACCAACAACTGAACATGTAAAAATTGCTCAAACATAGCTTATTAAGATAAGAAGTGAAAAAACATCACTCAGGTTGCCTAAACTTGTATTATTTAATGTTTTTTTTTTTCTGATTTATTTCTTCCCCACTCTCTTTTTCTTTGCCTTCCTGGCTCCTTTCTTTAACTTTTCTCATTTTCTGTCTCTCTCTTGGGGCAGGAAAGAGGCTCTTTCAGTTTTTTGTTTAGCCTTCTTAAGATCATATAGGTAATATCGATTCATTATAAATATGGACCTTTTATCCTTTTGTCCAAATAATGATCTGTTATATAATTGCTTTCTTCCTCCCATGCATTCTACATTCCCACATTTCTTTTCCATATCTTTCTTAGCTCACTAATCAAGAAAAGATGAAACAAAAAATGTATGCCATAACTGATGACAGGCAAGATATGGTTTCATGTCTTTCACTAATATTATACTTGGCTTCCTTCTATATATATACATACATATTATTTAGGAAATTTTATATATATAGATCTATATATATAGAAGGAAGCCAAGTATAATATAGGATGAAAATTTTATATATATACTTTAGAAAATTATATATTATATATATAAATTTTTATCCCATTTGTCATGTCTTCCTTGGGCTGTGAGAATGTCATACATTTTGCTTACATTTTATTGTGCATGTTGACATCAGCTTTGTTTTGTGTCTTTTATTTGTTTACCAGGTAACCTGCATATACAAGAAATTTTCTATTTTCATTTTTCTGGGCCCTATCCTATTTTTTACTTTGTCACTCATAAGAATTTTATACTCAAATTTGTTAAGACAAAATTGTTCCTCTCTTGTAATCTTCCAATGAGTTACACTGTTCCCAAACTATCTTCATAAGGGGTAGTAAGACCCAGTGAAAAGAAATTGAGTAAAACAGATATTGTTCAAATTCTAAATTGACATTTACGTTTGCTAGCGATGGAAAAATAATGATTATAATGATTAAGCATATAGATGCTCAGTCCATGGTATATAAATTATAGATTAAATAGGTAAAGTACTCTATACAGTGAAAAATGAATATTATTAATAGAATTAATAAGTAAACAGAAATTCTTGGCTGCTCTTATTCTATTTGAGAAGTGTTGGTACAAAATATGTTGTTATTTTTCATAAGTCAATTGAAATAATTGTGCCATATTCAGTATGAGCAAAACTAGAGACACAGAAGATTTAAAAAGTTATAAATACGAAGTATTTGTATTTATAATATAAAGTATAATATGTGGTTCTTGTCCTTAAGAAGCTTATGAACTAGTTGAAGAACCAAGACATACATCTGAAATAATCACAGAAGTAGAAGACATGGTATAACAAGAGCTACCATTTACTGAGAGTCAAGCATTGTTAGATGTTTTATAGACATTATTTATCATCTTATTTATCACATCTTTATCATCTTAAGCCAACCCTACACGTAGGTGTTATTATCCTCACCATACAGATAAGAAAATTAAGTTTCAGAGAAGTTTAATTGCCTAGCAATCACACAACTAATAATAAAAACAGTAATAGTCAATAGTTAGGAAGTGTCTACAATGTGCGGCTTCACTGGGAAGCTAGTGATGGAGTTGAGACACAGGAGCTGTGGCTCATAGCCAGTTTTGCTCCCTGCAGTTGAAGCTCTGACAGCTGCATTCTCATGGCTGCCATATCTTCTGAAGGACAGAGTTAGAATTTTAACTCAGAATTCTCCACAAAGCATTCAGGGATTCATCATTAGCTTTATTTTACCATTGATCAAACTGAAATTCTTCTGTAGAAACTGACCCCTTTGCATTTTTTAAACTTAAGAGTTTTCCAAACTTAGAGCTTAGAGTTTTCTGTGGGGTCTTTGTACCTGCACACTCTGGCCAATTCTCACCTCCATTTACGAATACAGTGAAGAATTAGGGTGGGGACTGGTTAAGAATGCTCTCCAAGCATTGCCATAAGTTGTTATTAAGTGTTTGCTTGATGAGCCTGATAGTTCCTATTATTGGGCAATGAGAAAAATGGAATTAAGGTCTCTATTACTTCTGATATTCTTTTGTTGAGAAATTGCTATCCTTGATTTCACCATCAATGTATTTGTCAGTGCAAAATGCATTACTTATGAGAGCTGCCTACATATAATCCACATGCATTTGATATACAATATGTAAACCCAGTATAAAATCAAACATGCATCAAGGCAATATTCTCTTGAAAGTCTCATATTTCCTACTGACTGCAGTAGCTAGAGGGGTTGGGGGCAGGGAGCGGACAAAAAGCAACTATTGGAGAAAGGGAGATTTTGAGCATGGGAAGAGGGTCTTGCAAGTAATGTACCTTTTTCCAACCAAATTTGAGTAAAAGTAGCAGCTGTCTCCACTGTCATGTAGAGCATCTGCCTGAAGAAACTTTTGAAAGAGACATTTCCAATTTTTGCCCACTTATTTTAGCCTTTCCTTCATTATATAGATTTTTTTGGTATAGTAAATAGAGAAAGAAATATTAAATCAGCATTTAATAATTCATGGACACAAAGAGGGGAATGACAGACACTGGGGCCTACTTGAGGGTGGAGGGTAGGAGGAGGAAGAGGATCAGAAAAAGTAACTATTTGGTACTAGGTTTAGTACCTGGGCAACGAAATACTCTGTGCAACCAACCTCCATGACACAAGTTTACGTATATAACAAACCTGCACATCTACCCCTGAATCCAAAATAAAATTTTTAAAAAAGACGGCAGAAAAGTAGGTTAAATAAAGTTAAATAGAGTCTTGACTGCAGGACTATAGTGAACCTTAATTATAAACTAAGGCTCTCCAAATAAGTGATGTTTATAGCATTTATATAAGTGTATCCAGATACATGTGTGTGTATGTGTGTGTGTAGTCTGAATATCCAAGCAAGTTTTATGCACACACACACACACACAGTCTATAAGTCTCCAAGGAAGTCATATATATAATATGTACACATACATATATAGTTGAACATATATTTGCCCATGGCCTCTTTATACAAATAGCATTTTATGGGAGTCATGTTTTGTAGGATGGCAATGTGAAAAGCTGATTTACAGTGATAAATCAATAAAATCTATTATAGATTATATCTATAATAAAATATACAATAAATATAATCTATTGTGATTTAATCTGAGTACTTGCAACCAAGGGTCACATCTTTAAAAACTGAGAATCCCCTGAATTTATCATGTCTGCTTTTTTCTTAGTCTAAAATCCTTATATGCATTAGCATATCCTTAGTCTAATATCCTTATATTTATTAGTCTAATATCTTTATATTTCTTAGTCTAATATCCTTATATGCATTAGCATATAAGGATATATGAAACAGGATATAAGGATATATGATATTATATAGAATATAAGGATATATGAACCAGCAGAATGTCGATGTGGGACACATGAGAAGGCAATATTCATCAGGGAGCTGTCACAGAAACAGGTCAAAGAAATAAAAAAACTCAGAGTATTATTAAGAGAGGTTCCTGAATCAAGCACCCTTACCCAACAATTATAGTTAATGCTATAAAGCTTGGATAGGCAAAGCAGGTAAGAACATCCCTTGTAAGAGGTGCTGGAAGACAGGCTGTTTAGATTGGACTTGACACTCCTTCCTAAATGGAACACGTATAGACTCCTCTTGCTGCGGTGTGTCATCCTTCTATATCCAGATCCATATAACACAGGGGAACAAAACAAAGGCAGCTGATGGGCTGTATGTCATGGTTACAAAAGGCAATCTGTCATGGCTAGTATATCCTTGTGCCATCCCTTGGGGCTGGCTCCCAGCTCTTCCTATAAGCAGCACATTGTGCTAGCTCACAGCCCTCTTCCCCTGCAACATTACAACACCGACAGGATTAGCCATTTCAGAAGAGAGCTGGATCTGCTCCAACACAAGGACCCCAGGTTTACTTACTGGTGATTTTGATTCAGAGGCCTCAAAACGCCAGCCACTCAGCAGAAATGAGACCATGTTAACTGTCAAAGCCTTGAGAGAGAAGACCAATTTTTACACATTTCCCTACTACTTTGCCATAAAATATAATCCTGAGGTAAGGACCTGATCAACATTCGAAGCTTACTCTCAGTGAGGAATGATGAAGTGGAATAAAATCAAACCAGTGAAGCAATATGTAATATAAAATAGTGAGTCAATTTGGCATAGTCATTAAGATTAAATAACATGGCCAGGTGCGGTGGCTCACTCCTGTAATCCCAGCACTTTGGGAGGCCAAGGTGGGTGGATCAGCAGGAGTCAGGAGTTCGAGACCAGCCTGACCAAAATGGTGAAACCCCGTCTCTACTAAAACTACAAAAAATTAGGTGTGGCGGCACGCGCCTGTAATCCCAGCTATTCCGGGGGCTGGGGCAAGAGAATCCCTTGAACCCAGAAGACAGATGTTGCAGTGAGCCGGGGTCGCACCATTATACTCCAGCCTGGGCAACAAGAGCAAAACTCCGTCTCAGGAAAAAAAAGATTAAATAACATATTCATGTACTCCTTCATCCATCCATTTTATTGGCATTTATAAAAACCTGCATGCTAGGTCTCAGATAAACAGAAACAAGAATGAAGTAGTTTATCTTCTGAAAGAATCCAACCAGTCTGGCTGTTTTTTAAACTTTAGAATGCATATGAACCACTTGTAATGATGGTTTAAAATGCAGATTGCTGGGCCAAGCCCCCTCAATAGATTCTCCTTCAGCTAGGCGGTGGTGAGGTCTAAGGGTTTTCAGTGTGATGTCTAAGAGTCTTCAGTGTTTTTCATGGTGATTATGATGCCTGTGGTCTATGGGCCATACTTAGAAAAACACTAATTAGACACACAGAAGCCAGAGGGCCCCTGTAAAACTAGTCTGAATGGACGGAGTGGTTAAGAGCACAGTCTTCATTTGCATTTCCTAGAGTCAGGCAACCTGAGTTCAGATTCTGCCTCCATGACCATCTGTTTGATGTTGGGCAAATTACTTGACTTTGTAAGACCCAGTTTTATTTTAAATAAAATGAGGACAATATTTCCCATCCTTTTTTAAATTGTTTTTCTTCTTTTCTTTTTTCTTTTTTTTTTTTGACAGGGTTTCACTCTGTCACCGAGGCTGGCGTTCAGTGGTGGTGCTATTACAGCTCACTGGAGTCTCAAACTCCTGGGCCCAGGTGATCCTCTCACCTCAGCCCCATGAGTAGCTGGGACTACAGGTGCATGCCACCATGGCTGGCTAATTTTTTGTATTTGTTTTAGAAACAGGGTTTTCCGTGTTGCCCAGGCTGGTCTCGTACTCCTGGACTGAAGTGATCAGCCCGTCTCAGCCTTCCAAAGTGCTGGGATTACAGGCATGAGCCATCATGCCCAGCCCAATATTTCCTACCCTTTAGAATTATTTTGAGAATAAAATAAAATCATATATGTCCGGCACATTATTTGGTACATAATAGGTGCTCAATACATAGTTATAAGAGCAGTTATGACAGCAATAATAATTATTGCTTCTGAAGGTGATATTATTATTGCTGCCATAGAGTTGCACCAGAATCAAGCTATATTAACCTGTATTAATTTATATGTCAATATATTATATTACTATACAATAGCAAAACAGATTAGCAGGGAGGGTGTATTTTCTAACATAATTTGAAGATCTGTATTTTATAAGTAACTGTAAAAGGAAGCCCTCTTGAAAAATGTTCCCCTTGGTTGTTTTTGCAAAGTTGTTCTTTGCTTTAAACTTAAGTAGTTTCAAAGACAAATGAGAAATACTCATAATCTTTTTCTCTCCACAATGTTCACAATTTTAAAAAAAGTTTAAATAATAATGTTTTTCCTATGATAAAGTAATACTGGATATAGAAAATTTAGAAAGTGTGAAAAACACTTTAAAAATGAGAAAATAATCATCCAAATATTCACCATCTAGATATAACTATAATTAAAATTTGATGTTTAGGTTTTTTTTTTCTATTATGGTTTGTGTCATCATTGAACTCAAAATATATGCACAATTTGAAGTCTGTTTTTCCCTACGTATTATGTAGTAGGAATTTTCACATATCACACATAAGCATAATATTTGATGACTGAATAATTCCATTTTTTCTCACCCATAATTTAGGTCAACAGTCTCTTACTTTGGGAAATTTTACTGTCTTAAGATATATAATAAGAAATAATTTTATACCCAGTGTTTATATACACGTCATTTTTCTTTTAGATAGATTCCTGAAAACAAAATTACTGAGTGAAGGTTATGAATACTTTTAAATTTACAAGACATGTTAACAAATTTTTTTCATAAAGGTTTTGCCAATGATTAACTCTACCATCAGAAAAAAGTACCAACCAATCTAGTAACTAGAGATACCAAATGTGCTTTGATTAATTTATTGGCCATTATATTTCTTTTCTACACATTATCTATTCCCTCTTTTGTCCAGTTATCTACTGGAAACTTGATTGATTGGTTTCTCTGTTCCTTTCCATTCATTCCCTCTTTTCTTCTTTCCTTGTGCCTTTTCTTTTCTTACTAAAAAGTCATTTTAGATTTTTCATGGAATGAATGTTGTATAATTCAGTATTCTACTGGTTAAAGCACAGCCTAGAAGTATGTTTCTGCTCTCTCTCATAGCAGTGTTATAAAAAGATTACACCAAATTTCACTTCGTAGAATTTATCTTTGATGACAAATATATTAAATTTCCTTTCCTAGGCAGATCCCAAATGTGGCAGCTTTTAGCAGCAGCATGCTGGATGCTTCTTCTTGGATCTATGTATGGTTATGACAAGAAAGGAAACAATGCAAACCCTGAAGCTAATATGAATATTGTAAGTCATTTATTCAGAAAAAAATGCTAAAATAAGGAATTATTCATATTTCAGCATTTTAGATACAACTGGTGTGCCTTCTTAGTTTTCAGCAATTCCTCCAGTGACTAAGTCTGTGCTTCCTCTCCTGTTTCTTGATATGGCTAACTAATCCAAGAATTAAAAGATCTGACCCAAGTTGGGGCAGTAATAGTCCATCTCCTGGTGGTTTGAACTACCATCCAGTGGTGGCTTCCTAAAGAGAAGTTTCATGACTTAATACAGATGATCTCTATAGAGTACCTTTGAGTTTTCCCCGAGATTTTTGATAGAGCAGTTTCTTTGATTTTGTGAGCTATCCCAATATGCTTTTTTGGTTTCATAAGCCAGTGTTGGTTTCTGTTGTTTATTACCAAAGTATTTTAACATTCAGGAATTCATATCAGAAGTGGAATGGAATAGTGTTAGGCAAAGAAAAAAAGGCCAAATGACAAATATCTACTACAGAATTCATTCAGATAATATACTCCATTCTCCTATATAAACGGCGCACAATTGCTGTCCTGTACCATACGCAAGTTGTATCAGAACCATAAAAAGAACGAAACTGCCAAAGTTTTTTTTCATTAGTATCTCTTCTTGTTCCTCTCTCCAAAGTATCCAGCAAGTACCCTTGATCTCCTACCAAACTGTTGAACTCACATAATTTTTCTCTCTCTAGCATGAGGGATTTTTAGCTTTTAATCCTTCTATAATGATAAGAACAATCATCTATAAAGCATTTATGTTAGGCATTATTCTACACATATTACATATAATCCTCACAATGTCACAGTCTGTCTCCAGAGCCTGGGCTCTTCACCATTGCTCTGTGTAGCCCACAATTTATACATGCATCTCTGTGTCTGACTTGGGAAAATGCATAATCCTTTGATTAAGGCATAAGCTTTGGAGTTAAACTTACTTTAGCATTAATCTTTTTATCTCTTCCTGGTATATAATCTTGGATAAATTGTTAATCTACCTGAACATAAGTTCTCTCAACTGTAAATGGTACAATTCCATCTCAAAGGCCTCTTATAAGTTTAATGAGAAAAGGAATGTAAACCTCTACGCAGAAGATACCAGTAATCACTAATTCCCCTCTTCTTTGTATATCTGCAGGTGGGGTATCTTTTCTGACCCCTCTAGGCTCACTCTCTGTTCTTTAACACCTTTCTCTCTGCCCAAGAGGCTGAACTGTAAGGACAGGTCAACAAGCTCCCTTGACTTTTGGTTTTCAGTTCAATTCAGCCAATGGAAATGGTGAGCAGGAGATGGAAAGAAATAGGCCAGTAAGGTTTCATTTTTTATTGCCCTGGCTTCCTCCCTGTGAAGTCAACTTAGACAAGCTGTCTTCCTCAATTTGGTTATCTCAGCTTAACTTTCTCCTTCGGGCTTCCAGTAACTGCTTCCTCCCCTCTTCTTTCAAGTCTGTTTGGTAATAGATCACTTGTTATTAGCCACAGGGTACTCCACAATTCCCTGTGGTTTCCCTCATTAGATGACCATATAATTTTCATCAAAGCAAACTAGGGTGCTTTAATAATACCAGGCCAGCAGGCAAAACCAGAGTGTCCTGAGCAAACAAGAATGTAGGGTCACCCCACCCAGACTTACCTATGCCTCTTTATGTAACTCCTAGAAATCCCTCTTAAATTATCCTCATAGGAATATTACATGCCGTCACGGCACATAGAGTGATAAACAGTAGGTGCAATTTAAAGTACTACATTGTGGCCAGGCAGGGAGGCTCACACCTATAATCCTAGCACTTTGGGAGGCTAAGGCAGGGGAACGAATGCCTTGAGCTGAGGAGTTTAAGACCAGCCTGGGCAACATGGTGAAACCCCATCTCTACAAAAACATACAAAAAATGTAGCTGGCCATTGGGACAGGTGCCTTTAGTTCCAGCTACTTGGAAGACTGAGGTGGGAGGATAGCTTGAGCCGAGGAGGCGAAGGCTGCAGTGAGCCAAGATCACACCACTGCACTCCAGCCCAGGGAACACAGTGAGACCCGTCTCAAACAAACAAACAAACAGACAAATAAAGTACTATGTTGTAATTCATGTGTAAAAATTAAGAGATTATAACATGAAGGTATATATTTCCTTTCCTCTTTTTAGAGCCAGATTATTTCTTACTGGGGTTATCCTTATGAAGAGTATGATGTTACAACAAAAGATGGTTATATCCTTGGAATTTATAGGATTCCACATGGAAGAGGATGCCCAGGGAGGACAGGTATTATTTATTTTGTTATGAAAGGAAAAATACTTAAAGCAGAGGTACTTAGATGTCCTGGGAGAAGTCAAGCAGTTTTTGTTCTGAAATTCTTAACAGTCCTTTCCATTAAAGGAGAAAAATTATCGCCCCCCATCTCTCTGTTTAATTTGTGTAACTTTGAAGTTTTAAGTCACTTTTACATACACTGTTTATCTGGTCACTCCTTTTCTTCATGACTTTGTCTTCCTACCAAGCAAACACAAAAACACATCGTGTTCTTACCCTAGTGATACCTCTGTCCCGTTTTGAAAATCAGAAATCTAGGGGTTATTCTTGATACCAACTCTCCCTCACCTTCTACATGCAACCTATCATCGCCATCTATCAATTTTGCCTTCTAAATTTCTCCCTAATCTGACAACTTTCAGCTTCAATAATCTTTCAAATCCAGGTTTGGATATAATGTCTTCAACTACTACAATGCCTCCTCACTGGTATTAAACTATTTGTAGTCAGTTCTGGACCCAAGTCTGTGTGATTTCATGGTTTAAAGTAAATATTACCCTATTAGCTCCCACCTAGCAACAGCATCTCAGCTTGTCAAATCACCATCTAGTTTAGCCTACCTACCTTCACTCCAGCCTCCACCATGTCCATCAGGGTGACCCAGAACTCCGCCTTCAGCAGCTGTTGGTACAGGAGCATACCCAGTGCTTGTATCAGAACCTCAAGCTTCTTCCAGGTAGGTAGCAGCTTTCTGGGTGGCCTGGGCACCAGCATGGGTCTGGGTGAGGTCTATGCTGGGGCTGGTGATATGGGAGGCATCACAATTTTCACTGTGACCCAGAGTCTGCTGAGCTCCCTAAAAGTGGAGGTGGATCCCAACATCCATGCTGTGAACACCCAGGAGAAGAAGCAGATCAAGACCCTGAACAAGTTTGCCTCCTTCATTGACAAAGTGTGGTTCCTGGAGCAGCAGAACAAGATGCTGGAGACCATGTGGAGCCTGCAGCAGCAGAAGACAGCTGGGAGAACGTGGACAACATGGAGAGCTGCATCAACAACTTTCTGCGGCAGCTGGACACATGGGACCAGAAGCTGAAGGTGGAGGTGGAGCTTGACAACATGCAGGGGCTGGTGGAGGACTTCAAGAGTAAGTACCAGGATGAGATCAACAAGCATATAGAGATGGAGAATGAATTTTCCTCATCAAGAAGGATGTGGTTAAAGCTTACATGAACAACGTAGAATAAGTAGTCTCGCCTAAAAGGGCTGCCCCAGGAGAAGAGAAGATCCGTGAGCTGCAGTCCCAGATCTCGGCCACATCTCTGGTCCTATCCTTGGACAACAGCCGAGTCCTGGACATGGATGGCATCATCTCGACGTCTCCGCCCAGTACCAGGAGATCGCCAGCCGCAGCTGGGCCAAGGCCGAGAGCATGCACCACCAGGTCGAGTATGAGGTGCTGCAGGCCTTGGCTGGGAAGGCTGAGAATGAGCTGTGTCGCAGGAAGAGGATCTTCCAGGTGAACCGAAACATCAGCCGGCTCCACCATGAGACTGAAGGCCTCAAAGGCCAGAGAACGCAGAGCAGCGTGGGGAGTCCGCCATTAAGGACTCAACGCTGAGCCTGCAGAGCTGGAGGCCGCCCTATAGCGGACCAAACAGGAGAGGGCGCCGTAGCTTCACCGGAACCTGGAGCTGATGAATGTCAAGCTGGCCTTGGGCATCGAGAGCGCCACCTACAGGAAGCTGCTGGAGGGCGAGGAGAGCCCGCTGGAGTCTGGGACGCAGAGCAGGTGTATGCATAGGAAGACAAGCAGTGGCTACCCAGGTGGGCTGGGCTCGGCCTCACAAGCTCTGCCCTCAGCTATGGCCTGGACTTCTTCCAGTCCAGCTTTGACTGTGGCGGGGACTCCGGCTCTTTCAGCCGCACCAGCTCCTGCAGGGCCATAGTTGTGAAGAAGATTGACCCCTGCAATGGGAAGCTGGTATCCGAGTCCTCTGATGTCCTGCCCAAGTGAATGTCCACGGCAGCACTTCTTAGCTTACCCTTCCTGTGGCTGTCCCACATCCTGCTGGGGAGGCAGCTGTGCAGGGGAGCATGGGCAACTGGAGACCCATCTGACGCTCAGCCCTAGTTCTCAGCCCACCCTACAGGGATAGTTTGCTGCCTAGGGTACACCTCTTGCCCTTGCCTCCAGCTGAAAAAACAAGTCTATTTTTTTTTTCTGAAACAGAGCCTCAGGTATCCTCAGGAATCTCTGCAAAAAAGACCCTATTAGTTCCTATCAGTTCTGTGCTTAAACTTCATTAAAGAGCCAATTCTAGCTCCCCGCAATGCAGGTGGCTATCTGTTGGGGGGGGGGGGCGGGGGAAGAGCAATTCATTTCCCAGAAACTATTTGCTCTTGCTTTCTTCTCTCTCTTCTTAGTTCATTTTATACTTTGACATGTCGAATAACAAAACTTCTCAATATCAGAAAGACTATTTATTTAAAGAAAAACTCTAGATTTCTAAAAAGAGAGGAAGATATAATGGTGTTGCTGGCTTTACAGAGCCAATTATTTCCCAAAATAACTCCATAATTACAAATAACTTTGTAAATACTCAAGAGAACTTTTAAGTCTCTCCAAACTTTTCTCTTGTCATTTCTATCACGTAGCTGCCAAAATTCATGAGACAAAAAGCTGTACAATGAGAAACTCTTTTTCTAATCTGAGATCCCTGTGATTTGTCTCAGACTCAGATCAAAGAGGCCTGATGGTACTTGACTATTTAATGGTACTTAACTTTGGCAGAGTTAGTAACACCTCTTCTTTCCCTCTATTCCAAATGGTGGAAAAATGGACATAGACTCTTAGTTCCTTGGTCCCGATGGCTGAAGGCTCTCTGAGAGTACAACTTACTCACTCTCAGGAAGCCACTCTAGTTCCAAAAGTGACCTGAGGTAGAGTCCTGAGATAACAACACAGCATCACAAACCACTTATAAAGCACAGGAAAAGTCTAGTCACTTCTTCCCTCTCTTCTCTCTTTTTCCACACTTTCTCACTTCTTTCTTTTTCCTTTCTCTTTTTTAGTTGAAATGTTCCTATTTTACATTGGGAATAGGATTTTTGTATCATATTAACAATTTTAAACTGTAAATTTCTACTTACAACCTTGTTTTTTGCTTTCTAACAATTCAAATGAAATGAAGCAGTGCCTATAAAACTTAGCATAGTGCTTGACATTCAATGAGCATTCAACAAATGGCATTTTAATTATTGTTTTTATTATTTTGAAAAAAATTTAAGTTTTTAATCAGATGAATCTTGAAAAATATAATGCTATTAATATAAGTAACAGTAATAGAGCTAATATATATTTACTGTGCCAGACAGCTTTTTTTTGTTTTGTTTTATTTTGTTTTGAGACGGAGTCTTGCTCTGTCGCCCAGGCTGGAGTGCAGTGTGGCGATCTCGGCTCACTGCAAGCTCCGCCTCCCGGGTTCACGCCATTTTCCTGCCTCAGCCTCCCGAGTAGCTGGGACTACAACGCCCGCCACCATGCCCGGCTAGTTTTTTTGTATTTTTTAGTAGAGATGGGGTTTCACTGTGTTAGCCAGGATGGCCTCGATCTCCTGACCTCGTGATCTGCCCGCCTCAGCTCCCAAAGTGCTGAGATTATAGGCGTGAGCCACCGCGCCTGGCAACCAGACAGCCTTTTACATGTTTTAGTTCTCATCGAATTCTTATAAATACCCTAGGAGATAGCATTTATTATTATTTCCCATTATACAGATAGGTTAACTGAGGCACAAAGGAGTTCATGCGTATCGAAGGGATTTTGAACTAGGGCAAACTAACTTCCACACTTACATAATACAATACATTGTATATAATCCCTTACAAATGAGAAAACAAGACAGAGAACTTAAATAACTTACCCAAGTAAGTAGCTCAGAAGGGACTAGATCCCAGGTTTGCCTGGCATCAAATTTTATCTCTTAACCTTTCTTTTATACTACAGAAATTCAGGAATGAGATTTTTCTTGTAGACACTGAGAAAGTTCAAATATGAAATTCTTGTTGCCTGTGTTTTGCAGCTCCAAAGCCTGCTGTGTATTTGCAGCATGGCTTAATTGCATCTGCCAGTAACTGGATTTGCAACCTGCCCAACAACAGTTTGGCTTTCCTTCTGGCAGATAGTGGTTATGACGTGTGGTTGGGGAACAGCCGAGGAAACACTTGGTCCAGAAAACACCTTAAATTGTCACCGAAATCACCGGAATACTGGGCCTTCAGGTAAAGAGAAACCTATTAATGAATAAAATGTGTACTTTCCTCATGCATATGTATGAACACCTAGTGATTTTTTTCCTGTTTTGTGTCCAAATGCACCCAATGGAATCCACAAGAAGGAAACAAACCTTTCTTTCTCTACCCAAACTTTCTTCACAGGCTCTAAAGAACTGCCATTATTATTGCATGGCTGTTTTAGAACTCCTGCCTCCGTCCTGGTGTCTGCGTGTGAGTGAGTGTGTGTGTGTATGTTCTGGGGGAAGTAAGAAGAAAGCCTGATTACAGAATAGCTAAGCAACAGTGCTGCCAGCAGCAGCGCCTGAGGGTGCTGTCTACTTCAGAAGCCACGCCTACCCGGTCACAGGAGCAAACTGATGCACTGGCATAGGAGCTAAGAACCATGCCTTGGAGGTCATGAAAATCCTGTGTTCCTTGGCCTCGTTGCCTGCCTTCTTTCTGGAAACCACTGGGATTTCCTAATTCTATGCCATAGTCCATTGCACCCTTGCAAATGACTAGAAAATTCCCTAGGTAAGTATTTCTTAAACTATACATAGGATCAGAAGTAACTGAGGTCATTGTTAAATATGCAGATTACTGGGTCTCTTCCCAGGAAATTCTGATTCAGTCAGTCTGGGCTGAGGTCTGCAAATCTGTTTGCTTTATTATTCTCTCCTTTAGATAAGCATTCCAGGTAATTGCTCTTTTCAGAGGAGCTTGGTAAATCTGTTATAGAATTAAGTGAATACGACTAGCCTTGCAAGAAAAGCATCAGTAGGCCTCGACAAATCAAATTTTTCTGATTTCAGTTTCTTAAAAATGTTGACTTGCAATCAAGGTGACACCCTTAAAAGTTGCATAGTTGCCTAATATCATATATCGACACTAGTCTTATATTTAACAAAATCAAAGTATTTATGTCTTCACTGAACGTGTTTAAATGTTCTAGGCCTAACAATGAGATGACTTTTCTAATTTGTTATTCCTTCTTTTTGATAGTTTGGATGAGATGGCTAAATATGACCTTCCAGCCACAATCAATTTTATCATAGAGAAAACTGGACAGAAGCGACTCTACTACGTGGGCCACTCACAAGGCACCACCATAGGTGTGTTTGGGGCAGATGTGATCAGAGAATGTCAGGGGCTCTTCTTCCATATGGCTACATTTACTACAACTTAAAATGAACAAATAATTATCTGAAAACTATGAACTACTGTCTTCTTCCATTTCAGCTTTTATAGCATTTTCTACAAACCCAGAACTGGCTAAAAAGATTAAGATATTTTTTGCACTGGCTCCAGTTGTCACAGTTAAATACACCCAAAGTCCTATGAAAAAACTAACAACCCTTTCCAGGCGAGTAGTTAAGGTATGTGACTTCCCAAGTTTTAATCTGAAATAACTAAAAGTAGCTCTATTTCCATTGATTTCAACAGAAGACCAATGACATTTTACAAACTTCTGAGAAAATAATAGGTATTCAAGATATCCATGTAAGTTCACTGATGATGTATGCAATCTTATTAGCAGAGTTCAGGGAACTCCCCCTGTTGCTAATCTGCCCTACTTTCTTCATCTATGTCTAGAAACGTGTCTGCTGCGCCATTCCTCAACCACAGATAGAGAGAACTTATTTGATTGATTGGTTTGTTGAATTTAGTAGATTGAATTTTTCTAGTGATCCCTAATTTTTTAGGGGCAGTGGTGGTTGAGTTCACAGCATGGAATCAGATGGTGTGTGTTTGAATGTTATTTCTATGATTTGCAAGCTGGGTAAATTTGGTCAAGACCTTAAGTTCTCTTCATCTGTAATGTGGGGATAATAATAGTTCTTACTCATAGGGCTACCCTGAGGACTAAGTAAATTAATACAGCATATCCTCTAAAACAATGTATTGCATATTGTAAACCTTTAATAAATGTTAACAATTGTTTTTGTTATCATTAGTTTTATAGAATGTACCCTCCTCCATCACTAAATGCCCAACCTTGTTTCATTTCCTGACACTTTACAGGCTGTCATTTTGACAATTCCCAAAACCCAGGCAAAACTCTAGGCCTCCTAATCTCCTCTAGTTGACAGCTAACTAATCTGATCATTTATCTAGTCCAGGTAAATTGCATTGCATGGGTTGGTGTGTTTTCTTCTTGTATTTTAACATGGGCTTCTCCCATGGTAATAACTCCCATGGTGGTGATTGCACGGTTCAGTGATTTCAATGAGAGCAGATGAAAGTGAAACAATTCTGACAGAAGCCTGAAGATTTACCGAAGATTCTCATTGTTGAGAGCTAAGCAAATTAGCCTATGGTGATTGAAGTTCATATCTATACATCCCAGAAAGACAGGTAGCAGAAAAACCACCTGAAAATAACAAAACATGCTTACATTGCCTGTTGGTACTTGGGCCTCTTATACCATTGAGATTTCACTCTGGCCTGCTCCTACTATTAAGTAAACAATGTCAGACTTTTTGCTTAATTATTTCAGTATTCCCACACAATTAAGAGATATTTTGGGATGGTGAGATCTTTCCATTCCTCTTCATTTGCACAGCTCTCTTCAAACTTCTGCATACCCTGACGTGTGTAGGACGTGGTGCAATTCAAGTTAATTCAGCCAAAAGATATCTAGGAGCTACTACTTCAAGGCCCTGGCATTAGGAAACAGCTATGTCTACAAGGAAACTTTCCAGCTTGTTGGTATGAGTAAAAACTAGGGTGTATGTGAGAGTAGAATGGGATTCAACTAAGGAGGTATTAGGGGGCAATGGAAGGAAGTGGTGTCATGTCTAGGAGTTTAGACTTTGTTCTGTTAATGAAGGGAGGCCATTGAAGAATATTAAATAGAAAAGTGGCTTGATCAAATCTATAACTTTAGAATGATTGCCCTTTCTAAATTATAACTCCAATAGAGGAACTATAGTACCAATAGAAGAACTGCCACATATGACCTACTAATTCCTAGTAGAAATTCCAGTATTATAATGACAGAGTAAAAACATTGCTAGGCAAACTCAGAGAAAAGAAAAATACTGCTAGCTGTTGGAATCACAAAATACTTTTTGGATAAGATGGCATTTTAGTTTGGGCTTAAGGATATGATTTCATTATAGAGTGTGGTATAGAAAGGCTTTCTGAAACAAGAGAGAAACATGAGCAACATTGAAGTGGTGAAGCTCAGGCCATGGAGAACCACACATAACTCACTTTACTGGAGATTTATATTAGTATTTGTGAAGGAGAGTATGAGAAATCATGTTGGAAATGTAGAGGCAGATGATAAAGGGATTTGAGCGCCAAATTAATGAATTTGGAATGTATTATATAAGTAATTGGGGAGCATGGAAATATTTGCACAGGGGAATGACACGCATAATGCCCCTTTTTAGAAAGATTCCCCTGGGAACCAAATGTAAGCAGATGAGGGTAAAGGACATCAAGAAGGGTGAAAGATTAGGAGAATCATTATGGAGTTATTGTTAACACATCAGTTGATAGATGTTGGGGATTGGACAAGAGTTGTGCACTGATGAGAAGAATGATTATGGGGTTATTGTTAACACATCAGCTGATAGATATTGGGGATTGGAACAAGAGTTGTGCAACAAAAAATAATCTGTAAGATATGACAATGAAATGATAGACAACGTTTAGGTATATTTTTGACTTTTTGAGGAACGGGCTTTCTTTCTCCTCTCCTCTCCCATCAGCCAGATGCTCGCAGGCATGCTTGGTGAAAGGCTTCCTTTTTTATGGGAGCTTCTGGACTGAGACAACCTTTTTTCTCTCTCTGATTAGCACTTCCTTTTCATTGATGCTGCCAGTTCTTTCAATTGCTCCATTTCTATTACATTCAACTCAGTTCATGAGAGTTGAACTGAATTGAGTATAAAGCATAAAGACTTAAGTCAGACAGAACTGGGTTCACATTCTGCCCCTGCCTCCTGCCTATTGTAACCTTGGACAAGTTATTTAACCATGCTAAGCCTCAATTTTCACATTGATAGAATGAGTAGAGTTCGTCAAGTTGAGAAATTCATTCATCCATTCCCCCTTCCTCACCTCCCATTTTGCCCCTGGACATTTATGCGTTTGTGTTCTTGTCATTCTACTTTCTTTCTGACCTATAGATTGCTTTGATCCTTTGCTTTTGACGTGTCTCTACAACATTAAAGATTGTTAGTACTGTCTCCATTTCTTAAAAGAAGAACTTGAGGCTCAGAGAACCTAAGCAGCCTGTCCCGAGTCACCCAGCTAATGGACGGCAGAGCGAGAATTTGAACCCAGATCTGACCAGGCAACCCATGGTCAACAGTCTTTTTTATAGGTGGAAAAAAAAGTCTTTTTCCACTTTTTCAATGCCAACCTGAAGAAGTTAGTGAACAAGGGTGACCAGCTCAGTGGGTTGTTGAGGACTGAAACCAGCCCATGTTCTGCTTTGGCAAGCCATATGCCCTGGCATGGGGCCATGTTGCCAGAAAGAGGGGTGCCTTTTCTAATTCTCACACATACCAAAAGAGCTACTAGAAGGAGCCTGGCTCCCTGCTGTTATGTGACAAATATGCCTCCTCCAGAGCCAACTTGGAATTATATCTACAAGTTGGCATGTTTGCTACTCTGTATATGGGTGCTATACTGCTGGCTGGCCTGCATTAATATCCTCTCTTTTAGCTTAGGGTAAAGGAGAAATTATTCACCTTTGAGTAAATGCATAGTAATTTTGCTGAGTCACAGGATATTGAGGTAGAATGGAGTCAGAGAATGTCCTGCTAATTTACTCCGTATTTGGGAAAGCTAACTCCAGGTTTCAGAACAGAGATTATCTTGTATAGTCAGATATAATCTTTATTTAATGGAATATTTGATATTCCATGGAATATTAATGGAATAAAAGAAGTACCAAGATTTCATACTCCTCTTCCTGTCCAAGAGAGGAAGAGAGGGATGGAGCCAGGGAAAAAGGAAGGGAAGGAGGGAGAGGGAGAGGGAGAGAAGACAGAAGGAAGAGGAGGAGGAAGAAGAGGAGGAAGAAGAAAAAGGGAAGGGAAAGGAAGGACAACAATATGTTAAACTAGTTCAAACCATACTTCTCAATTCTTTAGGTCTGGAAAGTAATAATAAGCCTTGTACATATTATCTGATTGATTCCAGACTCTTCATTTTATCTCAATCACTAGGACACTTAGATAATACCCTAGATAATTAAACTTGCCAAATTGTAATTCTTCCAGTGTAAATGTCCCCATAATAATTTAATAATAGTAGCAGCATACACTCATAAAATGAGCTTCTCTTTTAAAATTATGTTGACATTTACTTCATGTTTTCAAGTGTGACAATTTAAATAGATTGTCACACAAATAAATAATTAAAGTAAAAGGCAGGATCTGACTTTAACCGGTAAACAAATTTATTTTTTATTTATCAATAACTTGCTTTATTTATCAATCCATGCTTGGCAAAACAAATCCATGTGAAAGAAAATAGCCACTTCATAAAATAATCAACAATTAAAATACGGTGTTAAGAAACAGGTGACATCTACCATAATGGATTCTTGGTTCTCTGTTCTGAAACCTGGAGTTGGCTTTTCCAAATACGGAGTAAAGATCTTAAAGTGAATTAGATCTTAAATGAATAAATGCTAGTTATTACTGTTCTTTAGTTGTAATTTCTGGTTAATAAAGAATTCTAGAAGAAATGTGTGTTTATTTTTACTGTAAATAGGTGTTTCCAAAGTTTTAAGAACTAAAAAATGTCTTTTTACCTTTATATCTAGTTTATTATGCCAAGATTATAAAACTAGTAGCTGTGAAGCAAAGAAACTCACTTGCAACACTGCCTGAAATTACACTAGTAAAGATTCATTTATGTGGGTTAAGCTTTTGTCATAGAATTCATTGAAGGATTCTGGAAGGAATGGCTCAAGTCTGTATTAGTCACTAATTATGATAGTAATAATAATTACATTAATTTATACTTTAATTAAATAATACTTTGCATGTGCGCTAGATGCTAGGAACTGCACTAATTGTCTTTTAAACATGACCTACTAACTTCACAACAGCCCTACCCAGTAGAAAATTTTTCCATTTTATAGATGAGAAAATTCATAATAATAGAAATTTAAAACTCTCCTAAGGTATAGAACGTGTTTGAATCCAGAATGAAACACATGTATGCCTCACTCCAAAGTCTTACTAATTTCCTGTGGGAACTAGTTTCTCAAGGGGCATTCTAAAAACCACCCCAATTAAAGATTTTTGGGAAAAGCCATTAAGAGGTGCATTGGAAGGATTACAAAGCTAATAACAAGCCTCATGATTTCACTAAGGACCAACACTGAGCAGATGTCACCTAATACTGTGCAGTCCTTCTTTGAACTATCTCTTTCTCCACTTTTGATATCCACGCCTGTAAGATTTGATGGTGTTTTAAATTATCTTGTAGGTGTTGTTTGGTGACAAAATGTTCCACCCTCATACATTGTTTGACCAATTCATTGCCACCAAAGTGTGCAATCGAAAGCTATTCCGTCGTATTTGCAGCAACTTCCTATTTACTCTGAGTGGATTTGATCCGCAAAACTTAAATATGGTAGGTGTAAGTAATTGGGTCTGGGAAAACATTTGTTTTGTTGCACAGAAGTGATGAAAGTTATCCTGGATTGTATGGCAACTGCAATTCAAGGTTTCCTTTTTGCATTTGGAATGTAATTAGTACATTTATGGCTTCCAATGAGGGTTGAGAGTCCACTTGCTTTCATAGGAGGATTTGAGAAGAAAGCTTTTCTGCCAACAATTCTCATCTCTTCTTACCCGAAACGTCCTTCGCTTAGATAAAGGCTATGGTTTTGATATTTATCTTGCTGTGCCTACGCCTTATGTCAGACCCACTGAAGTAGAATCTCAGGGGGTGAGTCCAGACATTTGCATTTTTATTTGTTTACCAATTTTCCACTTTCACAGTTGATTTGGAAAGTTATTTTGTGAACAACTTACTTCCTTAACCCAAAAGGATAAAAGGAGGCATGGTTCTTCAACAACAGCTACAAATTTATTGTTCAAGGGGTACCGAGAGGGATCAGTGTCAGGGTTCTTGTCAAGTAATTTCTAATTTAACTGAGATCCTTTCCATGATGACCCAAGGAGTTGGGGAAGGGAGGAGGGAAAGAGAGGAGTTGTGTTTGAAACCAGAAGTAGGATAAGGCTGAAGTTGGTCTCCACCTCTCTCACAAACTTCTGCCCAGAGCCTACTCTCCCAGTCAGTAGAAAGCACTGATTAAAATTTTTCTTGCTTTCAGGCAAGATTTATAAAAGGCTTTTTATGCAAAACATGTCTTAGCCATTGCCTTTCTATGTTCCTCTCTCACTTTCTCAGTGTACAATGGAAACTATGCTTCCTATCACTTAGATGCAAGGATATATGTAGGTGAGAGCATATCATGCAGGCAGAGCTGAGTAAAAAGACCTTGAAGCAAATAAAAAAGAGTGTATTTTAAAAGCACCCTCTCAGCATAGCCTAAGAGTTTGCTAAAGAAAGACATCACAAAATAACACCCTTGAGTATTCATTGGCCCTTGTTGTCCATATGGACACCTTTTGTCAGATCACCTTTTGTCTTTCTGCCAAAAAGCAAAACTTACAGAATATTACAGCACCTTCAAGGACATTTGTTTCAAAGAACCATAGCCAGGGGTACATAAGTAATATTGGTGGAACTTTGAAAAAATACACATGTCCAGAACTCAACCTTTGAGATTTTGATTTTTATTCAGTACATTTGGATAGCTTATAAGTAGGTTAAAATATTTTTAAAGCCCTAAGATGTTTCTGATGCTTACTTTGGTGGAAAATAACTCTTTTAATTTAAAAAATAGTGCAATTGAAAATATGAGAGAATCAAGAGTTTTTGTGTGTGTTTTGTTTTTGTTTTTGTTCTTGTGTGTGTTTGTGGTTGTTTATCCATAAGATATCTAAATATACCGACTGAATTAATTCTGTTACACAAAATTTCAGAGTCCTGTAGAATACTCATCACATTTTAAAATTCAGAAAACGAACGTCAACATACAGATCTATTCTTAGTGTCTTAGGGCCAACAGCTCTCTTTGAATGTCCTTTGGGACTTAACACGGGGTGAAGGAGAAGATCACTGGGGTTTTTATTCTTTAATCCCCTATACCCTTGAACCTATGGGAGTTGAGTCTGGAAAAAGATAGATTTCCTTTTGTCTTTGCCCCGTGGGATGCCCTCTGTAGGCTTTCTGAAGACACTGCTGAGGACAGGACAGAGCTGGTGGAGGAAAAATTCTTCAAAGATGGGCTTTTTTGGTTAATATGTCTTCAGATTATATGGTACATGTTTTTTCCTTAAAGAAAGGGAAAAGACGCCAGGTGCAGTGGCTCACACCTGTAATCCCAGCACTTTGGGAAGCTGAGGCAGGCGGATCACGAGGTCAGGAGAGCGAGACCATCCTGGCTGACACAGTGAAACCCTGTCTCTACTAAAAGTACAAACACAAAATTAGCCAGGCGTGGTGGTGCGCACCTGTAGTCCTAGCTACTCGGGAGGCTAAGGCAGGAGAATGGAACCCAGGAGGTGGAGCCTGCAGTGAGCTGAGATTGCACCACTGCACTCCAGCCTGGGTGACAGAGCGAGACTCCAACTCAAAAATAAAAATAAAAATAAAAATAAAAAAAAGAAAGAAAGGGAAAAGAGGAAAAGAAGAAACTTTTTAAATTTCTCTCAAATGTTTACTTGTGGTATGATGATATGATTAGCCTCTAGATGAGAAGTAATCTCTTTGCAGAGTCGCTTGGATGTTTATTTGTCACACAATCCTGCGGGAACATCTGTTCAGAATATGCTGCACTGGGCTCAGGTAAGTGCTTCTTATTCCTGCTTGATGCACACATATCTCTGCAAGACCCTCAAGAAGTGCTCTCAGAGAGCTCACTGCAGGGTTCTGCTGGCACCTGCCACTGCCACATTGATGTTTTTGGAATCAGCATCAACTCTTCATTTTTATTTACTTCATTCCCATTTCTTCTCCTTGTCCTCAGTGTCTGGGTTTTGAGCATGGTTCTCAGATATTCTGACTGGGTTCTGATCCTTAGATGATTCCAAACTACATTTTAAGGGAAGACTTTTATTTCCTCTTTCAGAAAGTCATCAGCTCTAATAGAACTTTATATAAAATGATGCATCTTATTCCAGAAAGAGCTGTTCATCCTCCAATCAATATATGGGGCATTTCAGAATGTGGAAATGATGCTTTATTCAGAGAAGATTGAATGCTAGGGAAGAATTAAAATGGATTTATGGCTTATGTTTTTACCTTCAGCTAAAGTTTTATTTGTTTTATTTTATTACTCAATATACAGAAAGCTCAGAGATAAGTCTAATCCAGTTGGTGTGGCTTTCTGAGCCTTGTGTGTGTGTGTGTCTTTGTGTGTGCATGCGCACACACGTGCATGCACATTCATTTGTTTATTATGTAATATTTGCCTATATTCTTGGCTGGTGGCTCAGTCACAACGCCTTTTGAAAAGTGAACAAAATATACATAATTCTATGACGGGGAAAGTGGTGGTGTCTTCTTAAAGGTTTAATATATCTGAGACCCCCCCCCAACCAGGAATTTGCATTTTAATATATATCCTACTAAATTTGCTCCCTGTTTTAGAGAATCGCTACTATAGATAGCCTGAAATACTTGGTGAGGATTTCCAAAATACTTGGAAGAGTTTGATCCCAGGAGATAAGGCTTCAAGTTCCTCTACGAAGAAAGATGTTCAGGATATAGGGCTTCCTACTGACGAGGAGACAGATAGGTCCTCTTATGAGCATGGCCTTCCAGGTACTACACATTTAACTTCACAGTTATTGAGCACTTAATATATGCTCTTCTTGCTGCTCATACATATGATTTTATTCAGTCTCACTGAATTATTATAACAATTTTTTAGTAAAGGCATTGATATCCCCCCACTCTACAAATGTCATAGCATATTCTTTTATTTATTTATTTTTTAAGACAGGGTCTCAAAAAAAAGCGTGCAGTGGTACAATCACGTTACCCAGGCTGAAGTACAGTGGTAGAATCATGGCTCACTGTAGCCTTGACATCCTGGGTTTAAGCAATCCTCCCATCTCAGCTTCCTGAGTAGCTGGCACCACAGGCATGCACCACCATGCCCAGATAACGTTTGTTTCTTTTTACAAAGATGAGGTCTTGTTTTGTTGCCTAGGCTGGTCTTGGACTGCTGGACTCAAGCAATCCTCCCACCTCAGCCTACCAGAGTGCTGGGATTACAGGCGTGAGCACTGCGCATGGCTGCCTGTTCCTTATACATTTTACAATTGACTTCTCTTAAGAAAAACTTTTCCCCTTTGACAGAGAGTCCTCTTCAGGATAGAAATAAGTGGGGATGGTGGGGGGCATGGTGAATATTTGGTTATAAGTTACATAGGCAGCTAAGGCAAGAGTGATGATCATGATGATGGGAGTAATACTAGTGAAAAAAAGCTGTTTGTTGGGTATTATTAGGTGCTACATGCTTTATAGGTGTTAACATAATCTTCACAATCCTAAGAAAGAATGTTACTATCATTCTCATTTCACAAATATCTTGCCTTGAATCACAGATTCAGTAGTCTATTAAGCCTGGATACAATCAAGGTATATTAGTGTCTTTCACACTACTATAAAGAGCTACCTGAGACTGGATAATTTATGAAGACAAGTGTTTTAACAGACTCACAGCTCCACAGGCTGTACAGGAAGCATGGCTAGGAGGCCTCAAGAAACTTACAATCAATCACCGTGGAAAGTGAAGGGGAAGCAAGCACGTCTTACCACGGTGGAGCAGGAGAGAGAGAGCACAAAGTGGGAAGTGCCACACACTTTCAAACAACCAGATCTTGTGAGAACTCACTCACTATCAGGAGAACAGCAAAGGGGAAGTCCGCCCCCATGATTCAGTCTCCTCCCACCAGGCCCCTCACCTGACAAGTGTGGTTACAATTAGAGATGAGATTTGGGTGGGGACACAGAGCCAAACCAAATCATCAGATTTGATCCTAGAGCCCAAGTTCCTAAGTAGTACGTCCTATTGCCTCTCATTTCTAAAAGCTTGCAGAATTTCAACAGCAGCAGACTGCTGCCTCTCTGAATATAAATCATGATGAGAATAATTTTAAACTAAAAATCAGGACTAAATTGGTAAGTGGGAAAAATATCTGAGATTCAAGCTAAGAAAGAAAAACACAGAATAGTCTGAGAATAATTTAATGAAGTGCTTGACATAAATGTCAAAATTATCTGCCTCATCAATCCTATATGGGTGGCAAATAACAGAAAAATGAAGTGCTGCATATATGCATGACCTTATATTCTAATATTTGAAGTTTCAATACCAAAATGCAAAAGTAGTCATGCACAGTGTCTCAGTCAGCCCATGGCTACATTATGCACATCACAGCAGGTGGCTTGACTCCACATATGGGAGGCAGAGAGCAGCCATGTACCTTACACAGAACTGCGGAAGCTCAGTGGGTGAATATTTCTTTTAATAGTAAAAAAAAAAAGTTTAAGGATAGGGAATATAATCATAACAGTTTAGACCACATCATGAGGATAAGGTACAAAGTTGTATAATAACAATAGCAGTAATTTTTAAATGTAAGAAATGTATAGCTAATGCCTTTTTAAAAAAATTATTAAAATTCCTGAAGCAAAGATATTCAAGAATCATTCAATTCCGCATCTTTAAAAAATATTTCTGTGTGTAACATGGTAACATTTAAAGGCATTGGATTTAAATGAAAAATCTGAGGATTTTCACTGGAAAGATACAGGAATGAGTAAAAGATTGTACCAATTCTGTGAATTACGATAAGATTTATCATTTTTATTACTTATTTTCTTAATCTTTATTGAAATTTAGCTTATGTTTCTAAAGACTGGGGCATAATGTTAATCTTCTTTGTATATTTCTTCTGTACTGTCTTTAAATGTACACTATTTTCTTATATTATTTTAACGTGCTTATTTTATTTTAGGCTGTTAATTCTGGTCAGCTCCAAGCTTTTGATTGGGGAAACTCTGATCAGAACATGATGCACTTCCATCAGGTACAAAAATAATCCTCATAATCAGTTCCATGCTGCAAATGAACTAACAAAAATAGTGTCTACTCATGAAGCACCTGCCACTTCCATTTAACCACACTGGATATTGCTTATTGCTGTTCTCACAGGCTGCTTATTGGGTTCTTGCCATATGCCATATCATTATTTCTAATTCTTACAAGGACCTTGCAAGGTAAATATTATTATCCCTATTTTTTTCAGAGGTTCAGAGAGGGTAGGTAAATTACCAGAGTTATTCGCTAGTAAACAACCAGAGACAGGGGCTCAAGATGGTCAACTGGATACAGCCAGGAAGAGTTTCTCCCATTAAGAGACAAGACCATCAAGAAGATTGGAACACTCTGAGCAGATCTTCAGAAGAAAGGCATTGAGAGTGAATGGAGGTAGGATGTGGAGCCTGGGCTAGAGGGAGGATTCTGGGAAGCCTGAACGGGGTTGCTGAGCACCAGGACTCACTTCAGGCCCTGAGTAGCTCCTGGGGAAGAGGTGAGTTAAATAGGAGTGCAATGGCCCATTCTTACTATGGACCTACCTGTAGGACACCCCACAACCCCCATAGACATTTGAGCTAGTAGGCAGAGCTGTTTGGGGAGTTGGCAGGGACAGGACTCTTGCCTGTGCAAAGCCCAAAGGGTTTGGTGCAGGAACGGTTGCAGTGAAGTATGGCCAGGGACATCCATTCCCTAAGGCTCGCCAAGCACCTCTAGGTAGCGCTGGCCTTTGTTGACTGTTGAACCTGAACAGAACAGGGCTATCTTACCCACGGGACAGGGCCAGTGTAATCTGAGCACATCCCTGTCTGCTGGCCTTTCTCAGGGTTCCTGCCTGGCTGCACCTGCTTGCAGCACAGCCTCACATGCCCAACCAGAGTGCCTCCCTGTGGTCACTGCCATACCTCCTTCACTGGCAGATTCTGCCTAGGCATAGGACAGCTTTTGCAGATGGGTCCCTACCAGTGTGAACATACTTGCAGCCTCCCCTGACTGCTTTGCAAGCATGCGTGTGTGCAAACCTTGCCACCACCACCACGATGAAGTGCTTTTGCCCCACCTCCCATCAGAGTGTTGTTGCCAGTATATGAGGAACATCTCAGCCTCTCCAGTGCAGCAGTGGCCAGAGAACAAAGCTTTGCACATGGTCCCACCTACCAAGGTTATAGCACCCAGCCCAGGAGTGCTGAGCTGAGCCCTGGTACCCTGAAGTCATCCAGAAATGAAGCCAGTCAACTAAACACAACTTATATCACAGTCATATTCTCAAGGGCTTCAAAGAATATAAAAGCAAAAAGCCTCATCCAAAGGACAGCAACTTCAAAGATTAAAGGAATATCAGCCAAAACAGTTGAGAAGGAATCAGTGCAAGAACTCTGGACATTTGAAAAGGCAAATGACCTCTAAATGACCACACTAACTCTCCAGCAATTGTTCTTAACCAGATTTAAATGACTGAAATGACAGATACACAGTTCAGAATCTGGACGGCAACAGAGATCATTGAAATTCAGGAGAAAGTTGAAACTCAGTCCAAGGAATCTAAGGAATCCAGTAAAATAATTTAAGAGCTGAAAGATGAAATAGCCATTTTAAGAAATAACCAAATTGATCTGATAGAGCTGGGAAACTCACTATAAGAATTTCATAATATAACCAGAAGTATTAATAGCAGAATAGACCAAGCTTAGGAAAAAATCTCAGAGATTGAAGACTGGTTATTTCAGTGAACCCAGTCAGACAAAAATAAAGAAAAAAGAATTTAAAAAATGAACAAAATCTGCAGAAAATATAGGATTATGTAAAGACACCAAACCTACAGCTCTCTGGCATTCCTGAAAGAGAGGAAGAGAGAGGAAGTAACTTGGAAAACATATTTGATGATATTGTCTATGAAAATTTCCCCAACCTCACTAGAGCGGTCAACATTTAAATTTGGGAAATTCAGAGAACCCCTGCAAGATAGTATATAAGACAACCATCCCCAAGACACATAGTCATCAGATTCTCCAAGGTCTATATGAAAGAAAAAATATTAAAGGCAGCTAGAGAGAAGGGGCAGTTCACCAACAAAGGGAACCTCATCAGGCTAACTGTGGACCTTTCAGCAGAAACCCTACAAGCCAGAAGAGATTACGGGCTTGTATTCAACATCCTTAAAGAAAAGAAATTCTAACCAAGAATTTCACATACAGACAAACTAAGCTTTATAAGTGAAGAAAATATAAAATATTTTTCAGACAAAATTGCTAAGGGAATTTATTACCACCAGACCTGCCTTCCAAGAGGTCCTTAATGGAATGCTAAACATGGAAATAAAGACTGGTACCAGATACTACAAAAGCACACTTAAATACATAGACCGTTGACACTAGAAAGCAGCTACATAATCAAGCCTACATAAGAACCAGCTAACAACACAATGACAGGATCAAATCTACACATATTGATATTAACCTTGAATGCAAACAGGCTAAATGCCTCACTTAAAATGCAAAGAGTTGCAAGTTGCATAAAGAAGCAAGACCTAACTGTATGCTGCCTACCTGAGACCTATCTTGCATGCAGTGACACTCCTGGGCTCAAAGAAAAGGGAGGGAGAAATATCTATCAAACAAATGGAAAAGAAAAAAGACCAGGGGTTGCTATTCTTGCTTCAGACAAAACAGAATTTAAATAAACAATTATCAAAAGGAACAGAGAAGGACATTAAATAAAGATAAAGGGTTGAATTTAACAAGAATACAACTATCCTAAATATATATGCACCCAACACAGGAGCACCCAGATTCATAAAACAAGTCCTTAGAGACCTACAAAGAGACTTAGATAACCACACAACAATAGTGGGAGACTTCAACACCCCACTGACAGTACTAGACAGATCTTTGATGCAGAAAGCTAACAAAGATATTTGGGACCTAAACTTGACACCTAACCAAATAGACTGAGCAGACATCTAGAGAACACTCGACCCAATAACAGCAGAATACATATTCTTCTCATGTGCACATGGCATATACTCTAAAATCGACCACACACTCAACCATAAAGCAATTCTCAACAAATTAAAAAAAAACTGAAATTATACTATGTACACTCATGAATCACAGTACAATAAAAGTAGAAATCAATACCAAGATGATCCATCAAAACCATGCAATTAGACAACCTTCTCCTGAATGACTTTTGGGTAAATAATGAAACACAGGCAGAAATCAAGAAATTCTTTGAAACTAATGAAAACAAAGATACAATATACCAGAATCTCTGGGACACAGCTAAAGGAGTGTTAAGAGGAAAGCTTATAGTGCTAAACATCCACATCAAAAAGTTAGAAAGATCTCAAATTAAGAACCTAACATCACACCTAGAGAAACTAGAAAAACAAGAGCAAACCAACTCCAGAGCTAGCAGAAGAAAAAATAACCAAAATTACAGCTTAACTGAATGAAACTGAGATGCAAAGAAACATACAAAAGATCAACAAAATCACAAGTTGCTTCCTTGACAGAATAAATAAAATTGATAGACTGCTAGCTAGACTAATAAATAATAAAGAGAGAAGATTCAAATAAATACAGTCAGAAATGACAATGGGGACATTACCACCACCCCACAGATACATAATAATCCCTCAGAGACTATCATTATCACCTCTACACACACAAACTAGAAAATCTAGAAGAAATGCATAAATTCCGGGAAGCATAACACCTCCAAAGATTAAATCAGGAAGCAATTGAAATCCTAAACAGATCAATAACAAGTTCCAAAACTGAATCAGTACTAAAACACTACCAACCAGAAAAAGCCCTGGACCAGAATGAATTACAGTCCAATTTTACCATACATGTAAGAAGAGCTGGTGCCAATCTTATTGAAATAATTCCAAAAAATCGAGGAGGAGGGACTCTTCTCTAACTCATTTTATGAAGCCAGCATCCATCATTCTGATGCCAAAATCTGGCAGAAACACAATGAATAAAGAAAACTTCAGGCCAATATCCCTGATAAACATATATGCAAAAATTCTCAGTGAAATACTAGTGAACCTAATACAGCAACACATCAAAAAGCTAGTCCACAACAATCAAGTAGGCTTTATTCCTGGGTTGCAAAGTTGGTCCAAAATATGCAAATCAATATGTTTCAGGCATCACATAAACAGAACTAAAAACAAAAATCACAAGATTATCTCAATAGACACAGAAAAGACTCTTAAGAAAATTCCACATCCCTTCATGTTAAAAACCCTCAACAAACTAAGCATCAAAGAAACTTACCTCAAAATAATAAAAGCCATCTCAACAAACATATGAAAAAAAGCTCAACATCACTGATCATCAGAGAAATGAAAATCAAAACCACAATGAGATACCATCTCATGCCAGAGAGAATGGTGATTATTAAAAAGTCAGGAAACAATAGATGCTGGCGAGGCTGTGGAGAAATAGGAACACTTTTACACTGTTGATGGGAATGTGAATTAATTCAACCATTGTGGAAGATAGCATGGCTATTCCTCAAGGATCTAGAATCAAAAATACCATTTGACCCAGCAATCCCATTACTGGGTATATACCCAAAGGAATATAAACCATTCTACTATAAAGATACATGCACATGTATGTTTACTGCAGCACTGTTTACAATAACAAAGACATGGAACCAACGGAAATGCCCATCAATAATAGACTGGATAAAGAATATGTGGTACATATGCACCATGGAATACTATGCAGTCATAGTACCATGCAGCCAATGAGATAATGTACTTTGCAGGGACACGGATGCAGCTGGAAGCCATCATCCTCAGCAAACTAACACAGGAACAGAATATCAAATACCACATGTTCTTACTCATAAGTGGGAGTTGAACAATGAGAACACATGGACACAGAGAGGGGAACAACACACAGCCGGGCCTGTGTGTGAGGGTTGGATGGCGAGGGAAGGGAACTTAGAGGATGAGTCAATAGGAGCATCAAACTACCATGGCATATGTACACCTATGTAACAAACTTGCACATTGTGCACATGTATCCTGTCTGAGGCGGGCAGATCACTTGAGGTCAGGGGTATGAGACTAGCCTGGCCAACATGGTGAAACCTCATCTCTATTAAAAATACAAAAATTAGCTGGGTGTGGTGGCAGGCACCTGTAATTCCAGCTACTTGGGAGGCTAAGGCACCAGAATAGCTTAAACCCAGGAGGCAGAGGTTGCAGTGGGCTGAGATTGTGCCATGGCACTCCAGCCTAAGTGACAGAGCAAGACTCCGTCTCAAAAAAAAAAAAAAAAGAAAACAATAATAATATTAAATGCCATTTCTGACAAACCCACAGCCAACATAATACTGAATAGGCAAAAGCTTGAAGCATTCCCCTTGAGAACTGAAACAAGACAAGAATGTCCACTGTCACCACTCCTATTGAGCATAGTACTGGAAGTCCTAGCCAGAGCAATCACACAAGAGAAAGAAATAAATGGCATTCGAATAGGAAGAGAGGAAGTCAAACTACTTCTTTTCATGGATGATGTGATTCTATATCTAAAAAACCCCATAGTCTCATTCTAAAGGCTCCTTACACTGATAAATAACTTCAGTAATGTTTTAGGATACAAAATCAATGTACCAAAATCAGTAACAATGTCCAAGCTGACAGCCAAGTCAAGAACATAATCCCAATCATAATAGCCACAAAAAGAATAAAATGTGAATACAGCTAATCAGGGAAATGAAAGATCTCTACAATGAGAACTTTAAAACACTGCTCAAAGAAATCAGAGATGATACAAATGGAAAAACATTCCATGTTCATGGATAGGAAGAATCAATATCATTAAAATGGCCATACTGTCCAAATCAATTTACAGATTCAATGCTACTCCTATCAAAATACAAATGACATCTAACACAGAATTAGAAAAACTATTTTAAAATTCATATGAAACCCAAAAGAAGCCTGAATAGTCAAGGCAATCTTAAGCAAAAAGAGCAAAGCTGGAGGCATTACTTGACTTCAAACTATACTACAAGGCTACAGTAACCAAAACAGCATGGTATTGGTACAAAAACAGACACATAGACCAATGGAATGGGTTAGAGAACCCAGAAATAAAGTTGAACACCTGCAATCATTTGATCTTCGACAAAGTTGACAATAACAAGCAATGGGGAAAGGATGGTCTATTCAATAATTGGTGCTGAGATAACTGGCTAGCCATATGCAGAAGATTGAAACTGGACCCCTTCTTTTTCCCATATACAAAAATTAACTCAAGATGGATTAAAGACTTAAATGTATAACCTACAACTATAAAAACCCTAAAAGAAAACCTAGGAAATACCGTTCTGGACATAGGACCTGGCAAAAATTTCATGATAAAGATGCAAAAATTTCATGATAAAGATGCAAAAATTTCATGATAAAGATGCCAAAAGTAATTGCAACAAAAAACAATTGACAAGTGGAACCTAATTAAACTAAAGAGCTTTTGAATAGCAAAAGAAACTATCAATAGAGGAAGCAGACAACCTAAGAATAAGAGAAAACATTTTCAAATTATGCATTTGACAAAGATCTAATATCCAAAGTCTGTAAGAAACTTAAGCAAACTAACAAGCAAAAAAACCAAACACCCCCATTAAAAAGTTAGCAAAGTACATGAACAAACACTTCTCAAAAGAAGACATACATGCATCTAATAAGCATATGAAAAATGGTCAATATCAATAATCATTAGAGAAATGAAAATCAAAACCATGATGAGATAGCATCTCACACCAGTCAGAATGGCTATTATTTAAAAGTCAAAAAATAACAGATGCTGGTGAGGTTGTGGAGAAAGAATGGTCATACACCACTGGTGGGAATGTAAATTAATTCAGCCATTGTGGAAAGCAATGTGACAATTTCTCAAAGAACTTAAAACAGAACTATGATTTGACTTAGGAATCCCATTACTAGGTATATACTCAAAGGAATATAAATCGTTCTATCAAAAAGACACATGTACCCGTATGTTCATTGTGCACCTATTCACAATAGCAAAGACATGGAATCTAGATGCCCATAAGAGGTGAACTGAATAAAGAAAATGTGGTACATATACACCATGGAATACTATGCAGCTATTGAAAAGAATGAAATAATGTCCTTTGCAGCAATGTGGATGCAGGTGGAGGCCATTATCCTAAGTAAATTAACACAGGCACAGAAAACCAAATATCACATGCTCTCACTTATAAGTGGGGGCTAAACATTGAGTTTACATGGACACAAAGAGGGGAACAATAGACACTGGGGCCTACTTGAGGGTGGAGGCTGGGAGGAGAGTGAGGATTGAAAAACTACCTATTGGGTACTGTGCTCATTACCTGGATGACAAAATCATTTGTAAGCCAAACCTCCATGATATGCAATTTACTTATGTGGCAAGCCTGCACATGTACCCCCTGAATCTAAAATAAAAGTTGGAAGGGGAAAAAAATCAACCAGAATACGACCCAGGTTTCCTGGATTTAAAGTCTAGTCTTCTCCACTACACTTATTCCTTCTCAAAAAAACAAAAACAAAAAACAAACAAACAAACAAAAAACATGTTTGTTTTTAAAGTATATTCTCTGACTTCTTATCTATGTTTAATAACTAAGACTGCCTAATAGTTCTTTAGGATGTCATTTACTAGCCACTTTTTAAATACCATTATATGGATCATTAAAGATATAAGTAAGAAGTATCATTTTTAGGAGGTAGTAGTATCTGCCAGGGATAGTGTGCCTTAGCATGTCATTCCCTAGCAAATAGTACTATTTTCGATCTGGTGTGTCACCAGATCTACGAAAACTTTTAGAGAAAAGTTTTATATTAAAGGGAAATGTGTATTGTTATTGTTATTTTATTCCCAAGTATGTGAGGAAATCCAATAATGATTTTGGCTTCTTGCCGATAGACTGAGCTTAAACTGAAAAAGTAGTCATGAATGATACTTGGGTTTTTCAAATCTAGGATGTAGAAATTTGGGAAAAAAAAATTCTTTTTTTTAATTTCTTTTTTCTTTTACCTTTAAAAATAAAGTCAGGGTCTCATTATGTTGTAAAGGCTAATCTTGAACTCCTGGCTCAAGCGATTCTCTTGCTTCAGTGTCTCAAAGTGCTGGGATTACAGGCGTGAGCCACCATGCCCAGCCAAAAAATTTTAATGTGGGAATTTTTAATGTCATCATAACAACTACTATAACAACTATAATAGTGAAAATGTATAACTCAACTCTAACTGTTGTGAAAAACCTGACTTTTCTCCCCAGCTGCTATAGTTAGATGTACGTGGCAGGAGTGGGGTGGGGATATGCCACACACACACACTGTTTCAGAATACGGTTGTCTCTTGTGAGGAAACAGTGGTGACTAGGTTTACTTAGTTCATATAGTTTTTCCAAAGGCCCCCTAACCCCAACTCCCACCAAAAGATACTATATTCTCAATGGCTATGGCAAAAAGTTCTAGAGGGACCTCTGGCCCAGTTTTAGTCACGTGCCCATCTCTCATACAATCACTGTGACCTGAAGAATGGAGGACGAATTGGCCAGACCTGGTTACCTGGAACAGAGGTTGTGTTGTATCAATACAAGAAAGAAGCGGTAAGGGAAAACTTGCTGAGAGTTTATAGAGTGCTATAGCCACTCTAGTTATTTGTAACAGACTGACTCCTTTTTAGCATCATACTTCAAATGTCTTTCATGCCTTGGTCTCAATGCTCCCTGAAGAGTCTGCTGATTCCCAAATATTAATAATGCCACTGAGCCCAGATTTGTGACTAAGAGAAGGGATATTTATCCTATCCGACATTTTGTTTGAAAAGGTCACATTCTGAGATCAAATGCTAACTAGAAAGATGATCCCCCATGGAAAAAAGAATGCTCTTCCTCCAGAATCTTTTATTTTCCCAAACGTGCAAGTCAGAAATACAATAATTGAATTGTTTTTTTCGATTCACAATTCATATTACTGCACGAGAATGGTTTCAAGTATTTTTAACATTTTAATGTTTATATACCATTAAGTGTAAACTAATTGTACACTTGTAGCATTTAAAGAACTTGCTCAACAGCTGACAGTTAATGTTACTTCTATAATGTAATATTCTGTAAAAACTTTTCTCTCTCTCTTTTATTGTATTTAGCTTACACCTCCTTTATACAACATTACTAAGATGGAAGTTCCAACAGCAATATGGAATGGTGGACAGGACATTGTGGCTGATCCCAAGGATGTTGAAAATTTACTTCCTCAAATTGCTAACCTTATTTATTACAAGCTGATTCCACACTACAATCATGTGGATTTTTACCTTGGAGAGGATGCACCTCAGGAAATTTACCAAGACCTAATTATATTGATGGAAGAATATTTACAAAATTAAATGCACTTTACTTTCTCTAAGCAAGTGGATTTTCATAATAATAATGAGATGAACAGACACTAGAGTGATCCCCAGTGATTTCCAGCTTCTAGTATCTATGCCTTTGTATAATCTCCTCCCATTCAATGTGGGTGGGATATGAGACTTCTTTCAAGCCAACAGAACTGGCAAAGGTGTAAGATGTCACACCCTTGATTAGGTTTTGTCATATGGCAAAGGTGATAAAATGTCAATCCCTGATTACATTATACAAGAAGTTGGCGGGGCTTGGTGGCTCACGCCTGTAATCCTAGCACTTTGGGAGGCCGAAGCTGGAGGAGCACTTGAGGTCAGGAGTTCCAGACCAGCCTGGCCAACATGGTGAAACCCTGCCTCTACTAATAATACAAAAATTAGCCGGATGTGGTGGCATGCACCTGTAATCCCAGCTTCTTGTAAGGCTGAGGCAGAAGAATCGCTTAAACCCAGCAGGCAGAGGTTGCAGTGAGCCAAGATCATGCCACTGCACGTCATCTTAGCAGATTGGAGCAAAAGATTCTCCTTGTTAGCTTGATGGAATAAACAGATATGTTGAGAAAACTGACCTTACAAGGAACTGAGCATAGCTTTTGGAATCTGAGGGTGGCTTCCAGCTGATAAAACAGCAAAACACCAAGGCCTTCAGTCACATAACCTCAAGAAAATGAATTCTGCCCAAACCTGAATAAACTTGGAAGCCCATTCTTCCCTAGTAACCTCCCATTGAGAGAGCATCCTGGCCAACACCTTGAAGGTAACGTGGGGAGATCCTGAGCAGAGGACCCAGTTATGCCATGCCTGGACTACTGACACACAGAAACAGTGAGATAATAAATGTATATTGTTTTAAACTGCTAAGCTTGTGGTAATTTGTTATCAGCAATAGTAAACTACTACTACTATTTGTTATTGTTATATAACAATTATATTAATTATATGTTTGATTATATTAATTACATAACATAATATGATATTATATAATTTATAATTACATTATATACAATATATTAAAATATAATTATGTATTAAAGAATTAGATAACAATGTATAATAAATATGTAATATACTACATATGATATGTTATCTGTTATAATAAAATTATATATAATATTAATATATGATGATTATTATTCTGTCTCTTTGGTTAAAAGTTTGATAGATCTAAATTCTTGAGTTAACATATTTTAATATACATTTTCACATATTTTCTGCTAATTCAGTCACCTCTGTCATTTGGGAATTTGTTCTATAGATTGATTTTTCTCTTAGTTATGGGTCCTGCCTTATTGCATGCTTAATAATATTATATTGAATGCCAGACACTGAATTTTGCATTGCTGATTGCTGAATTTGTTTTTATTTCTTTATATAGGGTTGGAAAACAATCACCCAGGCACAAAGTCAATGATCAATGAATACATGTTTGGTGACTGGGAGTGTCAAGTAACATGAAGCACTTGATTGAGCCCTGTAGAAATTGGGGTATTTTACAACATGTAATTAATATAAACTTGGCTAAGACTCATTTATCAAGAATTTCCTGGCATAAATAAAGGGGCTGTAGACATGATGGGGAGGATATTAAAGGAGATCTGAGTCTTAGCAGGGGAAGGCTGGCTGGCAGGGCACCAGAAGCCTTCACAGGGAGACACCTCTTTGGTGGCTATGGCATATCATACTGGCATATCCTGACACTGATCTTGTCACTGCCCCAGAAATGACTGCACTTACACATGCTGATTCATGCAACTGAAATGTACAAGGATCTGCAGAACATAAAACAAAACACATGTTTATAATTTATATCAAGAACTACTATTTGGCCAGACTAGTGTTTTCTTTTCCTGTAATAAAACACATGGGAAATTCTAGTATGAAACTGTTGCTTGGTGTACATGGAAGAAAACACAGAAGTATATGGTTTGACAAAAATCATCCCCTCCACGATCATTCAAGTTCACTGAGCCTTTTCCATGAGGAAATAATAGTGTAAGCATTTTACATGAATGGTATCATTTAATCTTCATGATAGCCTTATAACATGGTATCATTCTTATCACTTTACAGATCAGGAAACTGAAGTTTAGAGATACTGGGCAACTTCTCTAAAATATTAGTTCTCTGAACTCTGAAACCTTGACTTTAGGTAACCAAGCTCTTAACCTTTATGCTTTAATATTATAAGTATGTATTATAAACTAGCCATTCAGAACAAGAAGAATGATAAGGAAAACACTGTTCCTGCCCAAGTGGCACTCAGAGTAATGAAAACATCAGATACTATACAGCTATAGTTTGAGTATCCTATGTCCAAAATGCTTGAGACCAGACATATTTTGAATTTTGTAGTATTTTCATATCATAATAAGATATGTTAGGGATGGAATCCAAATCTAAACATAAAATTCACTTATGTTTCATATACACTATACAAATAGGCTGAAAGTAAGCTTGTATGGTATTTTAAATAATTTTGTGCATGAAACAAAAGTTTTGACTGTGTTTTGAGCGTAACCTGTCGTATAAGGTCAGGTGTAGAATTTTTCACTTGTGGCATTTCAGTGCTCAAGAAGTTTTAGATTTTGGAGCATTTCAGATTTGGGATTTTTGTATTAGGAATGCTCAACCTATACTAATTTACATACTTAAATCTTTAATTTTAATTTAATAATTGTGATGAAGTCATCAAAAAGAAGTACACCCTCCCCAGGGTGGACAGGGAAGTCTTCTCTGAAGACATGAAATTTTGGCTGATATCCGTGATATCTGCCAGATATTACAGGTAGGGTACCAACTCAGGGGTGAGGAGCTAGGTTAAATTAAGAAAATTAAAGAAGCCCAAGGAGCCAAAGAGAGAATGGGTTGAGATGAGCTCAAAGGGGTAGGCAGAGTCTGGTTTTAGGCTCTCCTAGCCACTCACGGAATATTGAAAACAAAATCATTGAAGTCTTATTTTCAAGAATACTTAAAAGATAAGATCACATATGTGATTTTAAATGATGATAATAGCTATGATGTGGAGAAAAAAGAACTTCCTGAGACTGGGTAATTTATAAAGGAAAGGTGTTTAATTGACTCACAGTTCTGCAAGGCTGGGGAAGCCTAAGGAAATTTACACTCATAGTGGAAGGGGAAACAAACACGTCTTACATGGTGACAGACGAGAGAAGTGCAAGCAGGGGAAACACCAGATGCTTATGAAACTATCGGATCTCATAAGAACTCACTCAATATCATGAGAGCAGCATGAGGGACAGCACCCCCATGATCAAATCACCTCATACCAGGTCTCTCCCTTGAGATGAGATTTGGGTGGAGACACAGCCAAACCATATCAGAAAATATTTCACTAATAATGATATTGACTACATATGGAAATGATAATATTTTGAACACATTGGTTTAAATAAAATGCATTTTAAAATTTAATTTCACCTTTTATACTTTTTAAAAATGTGGCCATTAGAAAATTTAAATTAAATACCTAATTCACATTATATTTCTATTGGACCATGCTCAGATAGTGAAAAGAGTAAGGTAACTATCCCCTGAAAATTCTGGTTATTTCTAGGAAAATGGAATATCTCTGCATTTATAAGATTTTTTAAATGTATGGAAAAATGAAAAAATACAGACTGTGTAAAAGATATCAGATTGTGCTATAGTGGTTACTAGGTTTAAGAATAATTTGGAGGCTGAAAAAGAGAAAAAATGCTATCAGGTAGCAATTTTTAAATTGTATTCGTGTGGTTTGCAATCTGTAAATAGCAATGTATCTCTTCCAATTTAGTTAAAAAACAGGACAAGATTGAATTTTTCCCGTGAATTTCCTGTTTTCTATTAAATTTAGTAGGTAATGTTAAGAAAAATTTCCTTTGTAACAGCAAAGAAAGCCAGTGGAATTTACAGCCAAGTTGGTAGCATATCAAAGTAAAATACCTGACACATACTATGTACTTAATAAATAATAAATAATTCACTATTATTATTTATAATAACATTATTAGTATTCTTCAGTAACTAAGCTGCATTCTCTGGACTTCCAGAATCATCTATTCAATCACTCATTCACTCAGTCCGCAAAAATTTTTGATGATGATGGTGATTAGAGGAGGAATGAAATTAAGAAACTCTAAAAACAATTTATCTATTTTCAGGGGTGCTGGTGAGATTTGAAGGTGATTTAATAGTAACTCAAAATAGAACATTAACTCAGGAAAAAAAAACAGGAGCATATATCAAAACAACAATGTTACCTCTTTGCACATTCCAATCACCATTTATTTACTCTTGCAAATTAGATGAGACAAATTAAAACTAGATCCAACTTGAATGTCTAGCTAAGTGTCCTGTGTCTTTTTTTTTTTAAAGAATCTACATTTGAATATACCTCCTACAGAAATTCAAATACAAAATGAGCTCTAGAGAATACCACACATACATGCTGCACATTAAGCAGGAAGCGAGGAAGGTAGATCCGCCTGGGGCAGGAAAATGATATAATTTTCCTCATATTCAATGGTATGGCCCTTCCTCTTCATTCTCACAAGGATTTGACCTTTGTCACAAACACGGATGGTCCTGATCGTGTCACTCCGGAACATGGACGTTATCAAGGACAGCTGCCGGCACTCTTGGTAATAATTTCTCTTTAAATGTAAGTGATCTTTCCTTTGAACATTTTGAGTTGAGATGGATGTGTGTTCAATAAACTTATTATGGCCTCTTCAAAAATCTTTAATATTTTAGTTAACTATGATTGATAGATCTTTTTGTCACTTCTCTCTTCTATTATAGCCATTATTGTTTTTAAAGATGGATGTAGTATAGATGTCACTGAAACAGAGATTCATTTTCACTAACACTAAAAGAAAGCATGTTCTACGCTAATATGTAATCTCAAAAACAACACTGTTTCTTGTAGTAATTATGAACATTCCCAACTTCGCTTTGAGTAAAGAGATGAAATTTTAAAATATAAAGTATTTTCTCTTAAGCAAAAGTGTGCTAATTAATAATTTTACACACACACATATAGACTTATGGACACTTATGGTTCTATTGAGCACTGTTTGAATTTTAGGATGCAAAATAAATTAGATAAATTATCTAGTGAGCAAGAGACAAAATCCAGGTTCTTGTTCATGCACAGTCTTTTTACTGTAGGGTGAAATTTGTCTCAAAAGTGTGAGGTTCAAATTATTTATTTTTCAAAATTCTCACTAGTTTCCATTTTGCTGGTTATGGCCTAACCTTTTTAACTTTGAGTTATTTTCAAGAGAAAATTTGAAAAAGCAGCCTTTGAGGAGAAAGAAGCAATCCAACAAACAAAAAGATAACCACACTGTAATAGGAAATGTGTTTTGAATAGGACATTGGAAGAAAAATAATAATCATTTTTACAGGTAGATCCCAAAGTCAAGGATCTATGTTCAACCATGTGTGTTCCACCATCTTCACAATTGAATGAGTAACCATCATTAAGCAGTTAGCTTAGGCCGTAATATGATTCTTGGACTGAGATTTCAAAAATACCACAGGCCTTCTGAAAGGTTACCCCTTTCTAGCTCCACTATCATCTAATTTTATTAAAAAAAAAAAAAAGGAAAAATTTGAGCTTCTAGAGAGTAGGGGCTACCATTTTGTATCCCACAGGGCCAAGGAACAAGTTTTAATGTATTCATTTAAATTAATTTCAGTATGAGTATTGAAATATATAATAGAAATATTGTAACATTATATATTTTCTATATACTTTTATTATATAGAAAATATATATTACAGAATATATTATTAAATATTGTAGAACAATATATAATACAGAAAAATATATAATACTCAGTAATATATTAAATACTTATTAAAATAGCAAGCTTATATAGGAAGAGTGATGGAGCATTGTGAGAAAGTTTCAGCTTTATTTCTTTGACATTACTTTGTTTCTGCACAAACAAAAGAATTACAGGAATTGTCCAGATTATTCAAATAACTCGAAGTTGAGGAGGGAATATAAGTCAATGATGTAGAAACTCTTTTAAGATTTGAGCTAGCCTACAATCTGTAAAGATCTGTGAAATTGAACTATATTTGTGCTATTTCCATATTAAGTCAAGGCAACAAATCAATATTAATAATAATAACATAGCACTTCTAGAACTTTCTAAAGAGTCCAATAAAGTTTTGTTAGAAAGGATTGTTTTTGAAGTTAAAAACCATGAGAAATTCCAGGAAAATCCACATACCTATGCCATCATACTATCAATCAGGGCAAAACATGCTTGAGTCTTTCATCAAGACTAAATGATTAAGGAGTGGTACATAACTTTTCCCTGTTCTGACTAGCTGAACACTTCCTTTTACTCCACATTTGTTTAATTGGCATGAAATTTCCCACTCCACTAAAACAGATCTTAGGATTTGGACAACACAAAATATCATTTTTTTTGAAAGGATTTGAGGATAAATCCAAACTAATAGAACTGAAACTTCTATATTATGCTGGGTAGCAACTTAGTTTTCCCTACCCTTCTTCATGCTGGGAGATGAAAGAGATTCAGTTACGGCTTAAGCTCCACAGGCATACAAAGTGAAGCAGAAAACTGAGGCACGTGTGCCTCCATTATCTGGTATCTCATGTGGGGCTTAGAGGTAAATTGTCGTTATTTGGCCTCCATTTCTGCCTTTAACCACTGGTGTAAACAAAGGTTACTGTGCCAAAGTTGACAGCAACCCAAATCCCTTTGGCATGTGAATTAGTTTCCTCTGCCATACTGCTAGTTCCAAATTCCTTCTGGTTTCAGGATTTAGGAGTCAGGGTTGCCTCATCTTCTCAAATGAGTTACAGTCACGCACATCCCTACGCACTGCATGGTTGGCACTAGTTCCTTGATATATGTTACTCCGTTTGATCCTCATGAAGGATCAAATGGGGAAGGGAGATACTATTGTCTCTGATTGTCCATTAAGATCTTGAGTATGTTCTACTTCCCTGTTTGACACACTGGTTTGAAAATGTTGCTAAGTCTTCCCAACAATGACAGATACTCAGTGGAAACATGAAGGATTCCGTCAAACTGGTTATTTTGCATCATGTAGACCACTATTTCCCAACCTGCAAGTGCATCATGGCCTTTGGTGTGTCAGGGACACGCCTTGGGTGTGTGTCTCAGTCTAAAGCTTCCTCCTTTTCACAAGCTTCCTGTTTCTCATCTCTCTAGCTTCTAACTGTCACTGTAATCATCTCTTACTCTTCAGCCTGATGTCAAAAGCAAAAGTTCAGAAGTTCCTCATCAATAAGGAGTCCTTGTGAGCAGGTGAAGCTCATCTAACTAGGTAAGATGAAGATCTATCATAACCAGGAGGCAGGTTGGAAGGTGCCAGTTGCACTGGCAGTCAGGTGCAAGAGCTCTGCAGTGAGGCTGCCTGAGTGTCCATCCTAGATCTCTCACCTCTTGGCTCTGTGACCTTGAGCAGGTCTTAAATCTCTCTAAGCCTTTGTTTTTTTAATTGATAAAATGAGGATAATAATAGTACCAAAATTAGGGAGATTTTCAGAGCTTAAATAACATACGTGAACTATTTAGAGTAATGCCTGCCATAAGGGGACTCAGTAGCTTATTATTAGTTTCATACAATTTGAAAAGTTTCATAATATTTGCAGATATAAGATGATCTTCAACCAGATAGCTAATGTATGCAAAGCTATTTAGCTTCAGAAGTAAACTCTGCATTTCTAGAAGTTAAATATTACTTTGTTATAGTGAATTATCTGTAATATTTATCTCTTGCTCACTTTTATAAGAAAAATAGTGAAAGCATTTATTAAGAACTTACACTGCACTAAATGTTATATATGACTTAATCCTCACTATAACCCTATGAGATAGGTTACATTATTGTCCTAATTTTACTAACAAGGAAACCAAGAGACAAAGCTACTAAAACACTTGCCTGAGGTTAGACATCTTCTTCTGTGGTGAGGCTGGATTTCAAATTTAGACCATTTGACTGTAGCACTTATATGATGAGCACGCTGTTTAGTGTTATAGTGTTGGTCTACCTTTGAATAGACATACTTTTAAACCATGGCAAGGAAGTGAGACTGCACATTGAAATACGCAAAATTTGCCTTTGGGTGCCACGTGAGAAATAATCACATCACTAGAAACTAATCATAAGCTTTTGTGTTTGGTTAAAGTTTTATTGATCCATTTTTCTTGTTTACTTTGTGGGATACTGGGCTTAACTAGGGGATACCTCCACTTTTTACTTGGCCATGGTATGAAAACCTGTCCTCTGAATCTTTAGATATTTTGTCAAATTGTAGGCAAACAAAGACTTAAAGCAATTCAACCTTGATTAAAATAAGACCAAAAATGCCTCCATACTTGATTAAATTTATTTCATTTTAGGAACTGGATTATAATCAAGACAACTTCTACATGAAAAAATAGATTAATAGTGCTCCAAGTTAGTTCACTGTATTTATTCCTTTTTATACATTATCTGCCTTCGGTGTTATTCAAGTTTTCATTAATCATTAATAATTTCACTAATCATTTTATTTCATTAATCAACATTGATAGTTAAAATTAATCTGTGAATATTAAATGTTTTATGCCAGGCATTTCTATGATGTGGCTGCTTTTAACAACAACTTGTTTGATCTGTGGAACTTTAAATGCTGGTGGATTCCTTGATTTGGAAAATGAAGTGAATCCTGAGGTGTGGATGAATACTGTAAGTCATGGAAAACTGTGAAGAACATCAAATAAAGCAGGACTAATGGAGTATGAGGTTACGAAAGGTCCTGTTGTAACAGAAAATCTCTGATAAAACAGATAAAATGTAGATGGTTTTTAACCTCTGCAAGAGTCAAGCTAGTTAGATCTTTGTCTGAAAAACAAATACTGTCCGGTAATGAAAACCAAATTGTGCTATTGTGCTATCTATCTATCTATCTATCTATCTATCTATCTATCTATCTATGTATCTATCTATCTATTTATCTATCTATCTATCTATCTATAGATAGAACCTCCTCTTTTGAATTTATGTTTTAAGAATATCAAGCTATTTGTTGATGTACATGATTGCCTTCTATTGATCTATAGTTCTATTACTTTTAAAGCAAGAGGGGTCTCAAAAGACAATTGACTTGATAATATAGCTTTGTCAGAAAGAATGGGTCAATGCTAAATTTTCCCCCAACCCCCCAAAATATTAGCCAATAGTAGATATTTTTTAAAATTCTACTTATTTTGTATTAAGACTTTATTTATTAATTTTACAGTTACCTGGTGCTACAAATTTCAGATAATTCACCCTAATAAGCACACAACAGATGGTTTGTTTTGATTCCTTTTTATATCCTTTGGAGAAGTTCCACTAACGACTGTATTTTTACTGGGCAGAGTGAAATCATCATCTACAATGGCTACCCCAGTGAAGAGTATGAAGTCACCACTGAAGATGGGTATATACTCCTTGTCAACAGAATTCCTTATGGGCGAACACATGCTAGGAGCACAGGTACAAGATATGTCTCTCCTGAAAAGGGGACTGCATTGACCTCCTGCTTCTCAGGAGGAATTTAATGCTAGATATGCATCAACAGAGTTTATCAAAATTGGTTTGAATTATTGGATTAGTCTTTAAATAGTTATCAGGGAGGCTCACTCTTTGCCTGATAATTCTCTGAAGACAGACAGGAACCTAAAAATACAAACAGCAAGACTGATCTTGCTAACTGCAACCAGAGGTACTTGTTAGGGTGTAAACAGAAAGGCAGAGCCTGCATTTTGTCACCTCATTACTGATTTATCATGTGGAAAATTGCTTTGTCCCAGGAAAATGGATCCTCTCATTGTCAGAAGGAGATTTTCTAGGTTGTATGAAATTGACTCTGGGGCACCCAAGAAGAACCTCTCCTGCTCCCACTAAAATTAAGGGGCCTCCCTCTGCAGGATAAAAAACAATCTAGTTAAATGACAACGCATTTCTGAAAAGTTTTCCAGGACTGAAAACCTTAACATCCACATACACTTTGATCTAAGGGACAGACGGTTCATAGAATGAAAGAGTATGGTGTCAATAAGGCTTGAATTCTAGAATGAGGAGCCAGCCATGCCATAGCAGGGGAATGATACTCCTTAAAAGGGAAAATTTAACTACAAATCCTCTGAAGTAGAAATGATAAGAATAACCAAAATATCTGCAATGGTTCAATAGCAAATAATTTATTGGCAGCTGCTTACCGTGTTCATTTTGCATCTTTTTTCCCACCACACATATTAAGGAGCAGCTGAGGTCATGTTTGACATTCTCTCCCTCTTTTATCTCCAGTTTCAGAATGAAAAATGAGAGTGAGATATGAGTAGTTTTACTAGTTAAAATATGAAACACCCAGTTAAATTTGAAGGTCAGATAAACAACAAATAATTTTGTATAAGTCTCATTTTAAGATAATACTAAAAAGTCATTATTTATTCACTATTATCACTATTTATAAAATTTTGTAGAGCATCCTGGAACTTTTTGCTTACTTTTGTTTTTATTTTTTGCTAAATCTGGCAATCCCAGGCACATGTGTGAAGGAGCTGTGAAATATAAAAGGAGAAAACTTTTATGGGAAAGATTTGGCTTAAGGAGAGATAATTTTGGAAAGATTTAGAATTAAAGATCATTCATTAGATGTAATGTTCTAAATACTTTATATCAGTTAAACTTCTCATCAACAATATGAGATGGGTACCACTAATAGTCACCATTTCACAAATGATGAAATTAAGGCACAACCGGTTATGTTAAGAGGCCTAAAGTCCACAAATAGCAAGCTGACAGACCAGAATTTAAGCCCAGGCATGCTGGCTCCAGAGCCTGTGCTCTTAGTCATTAAATTATAGTGCCTTACTTGACCTTCCACCCTGGTTCTTTGGATCTCCCTGAATGCTCTCTCTCCCTCAGAAATCTGGAAGTTGGCAGAGGGACACTGAGCTGAGCATATTATTGTAGTTTTTAAATGCTCTCCACTGGACAGAGGATGGGGATTTGAATAGAAATTTGGTGAGGAACTAATCAGTGTCCATTTACACTCACCTCCTCTTCCTCCCTGGAAGAGCTATAGGACTTGAGTAAGCATGATAAATTTTGTGTCTTTGTAAACCACACCCAGGAAATTTGTATATACAAATACATAGAGCACAGTAGTTATCAGGACAGACTTTGACATAAAAAGAACTGGGTTTGAGTCCCTGCTCTGGCCTTCTTATCTGGGTGGCCCTCTGGGAAAGTTACTTAACTACATAAAGTTTTGTTTCCATATCTACAAAATGAGGTTTCTCAAAATAGCAGCTAGTTTATAGAGTTGTTGCAAGAATTTAGTAAGCTAATACATATAAATACGTCAACATAGCACCAGGTACAAAAATATGTGCTCAAGAAACTGAAGTTACCTGATTATAATGCTCTATACTATTGACAAGGGAAAAGTGAAAACAGTTTTTGTTTTACCATGTGTGTATGTGTGTGTGTCTGTGATGTTTCCGACATGCTCTATTTAACATAAATTACTCTCACTCTTTCTCTCTCTCTCTTTCTCTTTCTCCCTCTCTCATCTTACCCTTTCCCCCACCAGGTCCCCGGCCAGTTGTGTATATGCAGCATGCCCTGTTTGCAGACAATGCCTACTGGCTTGAGAATTATGCTAATGGAAGCCTTGGATTCCTTCTAGCAGATGCAGGTTATGATGTATGGATGGGAAACAGTCGGGGAAACACTTGGTCAAGAAGACACAAAACACTCTCAGAGACAGATGAGAAATTCTGGGCCTTTAGGTAAATATTAGCTAAGAAAACTCAAGGGGGAAATTGGAGGCAATTTAAAAAAAATAACGTGGACGCTATTAATGATTATCTTTGACGCTTGAAGTCATATAGCTCCTTGTAGTTTCTGTTAAGATCTCAAAGGAGGGTAACAGCAAGAAGCTCTGATTTTTCACTGATTCTCCCACAGGCAAAGTATGGCATTTCAACAAGATCATTTTTACATCCAATTCTGTGAATTCTATGCATTAAAAGTATGTCCAAAGAGACAGCTCAGGAAATTATCATGACCAATGTGCACATTCATTCAGCCAATGTTTACTGAGTGGCTACTGTATGCGCTGTTCTAGGCCCCGAACATTCAAACAGGGAACAGACAAACTCTCTGACCTCACAAAGCTTATGTTCATTTTAGTGATAATTTTACAAGTCATTGCTCCTGGATGGCCAATCAACTGTGTAAAGATGATTTGGACCAGGACCTTATTGATTTAGAGAAACTGTGATTGATTTAGAGAAACTGAGATCGCACATAGTACCATTTTCAGGAAAACTCCAATATTAGATTTTTAAAACCTTTTTAATGGGCAATGAAGAAGAATCTTTTTTGATATCTTGTTTCTTTTAATGGAAGAGTTTTCTGCTGTCACCAGAGGACAGGCTGATGCCTGCGATAGACTTTTCTTTCTTCAGGCCTAAGCTCCCTGTTGGTTTGTAAACCTGATGCTAGAACAGAGTGTGTATTCCTACTACATTAATAAAACATTCAGTACCCACTGAAAGTTTGAGAATAGTGGAGGAATAGAATAGAATGTTATAGTCTGAGTTCTTGGGCAGGGGCAAGCATCAGGAAATATTGAATCATTAGTCTTTAGGAGGTGTCACAACAATTCTCCTATTCTTGTAAGTCCCAATCTATAGATTTCCTCACATGTTCTTTTAATAAACAGGCTTCTAGCTTATGGAATACTTGATTTGACTAAATGTTATATAGGCCCTTTTGTTCCTCCTGTCTGAAGAACAAAATACTAGTACTATGGAATATTGGTATATATTAAATATATATCTATATATCCATGTGGACAGGAATACTACTACTAACAACATCTTACTGAGCACCCACTGGCAGCCAGAGTCGTTTCTTTCATACTATTAAACCCCGTTAGCAGCCCCGTAAACCAGGTACTACCCTGTTTATTTCCCAAATGAGAAAACATAGGCTCAGAGCATTTCAGTAATTTCTCAAGAGTTGCAAAGGCCATAAATAGTAGAATCATGATTTACAAAACCCCTGTTTCCAAAGATGGGTATTAAATGGTCCTAACAATTGTGAAGCCTCATGTGGGAGTCAGAAGTAGAGGCACACAAGCCAGATGGGGAAAGGGAGGGCAAAGAAAAGCAAGAGAAGGGAAGGAAGAGGAGGGATCATAAGGTTGAACTTCAAATATCATACACAAGTTTCGAAAGTGTTCCTCTTATAAGGAAGTAAAATGTACATATGCAGAAAAACAAAAAGCTACAATAGCCTACATATAATTGGATAAATAATGAAATACACATTGAATCTAAGTAAACAGCATAGAATCTGGGTGTAAAAAAGAAGTGAGCAAGTGCTCTGAGTTTTAAACTTAAACTTGCAAGTATTTATAAAAGCCCCTGTTTTATTTTGCAGTTTTGATGAAATGGCCAAATATGATCTCCCAGGAGTAATAGACTTCATTGTAAATAAAACTGGTCAGGAGAAATTGTATTTCATTGGACATTCACTTGGCACTACAATAGGTATGTTTATGAGGGTCACTGTTAGGTGTGTTTTTGAGGGTCAGTTTTCTCAGAGTCTTACAGGAGTTCACCTTTATGTTGGAATAAAACAACTGTTACTTATAGTGCCCTCAATTCCCTGTCCTCTGCTGGGAATAACCCTAGTACTCTAAGTAGCTGTGAGCCTGCAGTGCACAGACTATATGTAGGGCAAACCTTTCCTGGGTCTCTGGTCACAGCAGCATATTGACTACGGTGATGCAACTTCCCAGGAATAACATGTGTTCCAAATTCAAAGAAATAATTCCACAGAGTAAGTTTCTAGATTCCCTCTGAGCTGAAAAAGTAAAATTCAATGCCATGGAATATGGCTGAAACATAATAAATGTGCATCAATCATCTCTTTCTCACAACCCAAATGGGATTTTTAAAAAATAAAAGGGAAGGGCTTATACCTATATTTAAACAAACTGAAAAGGCATGGTTATATTTGTTTGTGAGTTGGAACACACAAGCTTACTATAATAAATCAATTGAGCTTATCTATTCAGTGTGTGATTTAGTATTTATGAAATAGCAAGTAAATGTAAGCACTATGTAGAAATTTCTAAAGTTTTTTAAGCTGACAACTTACTTCTTAATTTACTTACTTTACTTAATTTACTTTACAATTTACTTTCCAGGTATTTTGGAAAGAAATCAATAATCTAGTTCCAAGTAAAAGTTGAAAGGAACCCACACTAATAAAAGCTTTGAATTTGTCATTGAACTTCCACTAAAGTTTCCAATTTTAAGAGAATAAATCATGTGAAAGTGCAATATTTCAGTTTAGGGAAATATTTTCATTATCACCACTATCATCAGTAACAAACATATATTCATTAGTATTTTAGATTGACAGGCACTTTCCAAGCTCAGAACAGGCAGTTAGCATCAGTCAGCATATACTAAAAAAGTATCAAAGAACTCATAGGAGATCAAAAATGCCACCAATAGGCAAATAATTACAGTATCTAACACTTATTGAGCATTCGTTATGTGTAGGGTCTTGTGTTCAGGACCTTCCCCACAGTATCTCCCTCTGATCTTCAAAACAACCCGAATGTTATTATCCCCATCTCATAGAAGAAGAAACACAAGTTCAGAACACAGATTCAAACCAGATGTATCTGATTTCACCAATAGGGTGTGTAAGGATTCCGGAGAAATGGTGTAGAGAAGAAGAAATGACTTTAGTTGGTTTTGGAAAGTGGGTAGGACTTAGATATGCTCTTATACTTGATCTGCAAAAAAAAAAAAAAAAAAAAAAAAAAAAAAAAAAAAAAAAAAAAAAAACCATGGAGAATTTGATTATCTGTGCTCTGTGTTTCATTTAGGACATAAATATTTTTAGTGACTGTTGTTTGCATTTTGGACAGAGCAATTTCTGTTATGTAAGGAGCACCCACTCTTTGTAGGACATTTAGTAGGTCCCAGCCCATTAAACAGGGCTCTGCAGTCAGCGTGACCCTCAAAAATCTCACCTCCACACATTTCCAAACACCCTCTGGGGAAGTACTATTCCTGATTCAGAGTCTTTTTATCAATTGTTCAGTCAATTATTTCAGTTCTTCTTTTTCTGGCCAAGACAGTTTTAATGTTCCAACAAGTGTTTCAGTACACACACACACACACACACACACACACACACACACACACACACACATGCCAGTGGAGGCCCAGGAAGGGACCTCTGGAAACCAAATTATATGGATATTCTCCCTAGCCTACCCAGTGTTGTGCTAATCTCCATCCTCACAGATATACAAAGGGGTGCAATGCTACTGCTGAAAGAGCAAAGCAAATGGAGATGCCTGGTCCTTACTGGGCCATCGTGGATGCTAGGGAAAGCCCCTTTCTTTTTGGAAACAGGGAAGAGTCTAGAGGGTTGAAAAACACCCAGTAAGACACTGGGAGCAGTGAAATTTCATTCCATAGTGAGAAAGAAAACCTGTTAGAATAACTGGGTGATGCTGCAGAAAGAAATCAATTCACCTCCTGTGACTGATTATTTGCTTCTGGAAACTCTGTGATTCATTCTGGCATCTCAGAGTTAGGGATGAAATGAGAATGTTGCCAGCATTTACCCCATGCTTGGGAAGTTTACACAGCAGTAGCTACTCCAGCAGCTTAACCATCACCTTTCCCCTGCCAACTACTCCATTTCCCCCAATCAAGTCAAACTGTCCATAAATAGAATAAAATAAAATTGGAGACTTGAGAGCAGAGAAGACTGAAGGCAGATTATCTTTATAGAATAACTCAGAAGACTTCCAATTCATCCCCAGTATGATCACGATAGAAGGAAAAAATGACTAAGCAGAGCCCCAATTTTGTTAGAAACACTGCGTAAGTATTTATTTTTACAAGATTGTCTTATCTCCTGTTCTCTCAGGGTTTGTAGCCTTTTCCACCATGCCTGAACTGGCACAAAGAATCAAAATGAATTTTGCCTTGGGTCCTACGATCTCATTCAAATATCCCACGGGCATTTTTACCAGGTTTTTTCTACTTCCAAATTCCATAATCAAGGTAGGCTCCTTTCAACAAAATGTACCTGAGGATCTCATTTTGGATCATAAATCCTTATTATTTTCAAATCTACTGTAAAGTAAAAGTAGGAAATTTAGATAAAATCTATAGAACTTAGACTCTGTGGGTATGTGCTTGTGTATGTGTGTCCCTGCGTGTGCGCATGTCTGTGCCATAGTATCTGCAGGTTCTGTAATACAATTTACTATACAAGGTCATCAGCAGGCTGAGTATATGTCAGAATTTCTAGCTGAACTGAGTGCTATATGACAACAAGGATTTTTCTTGTTTTCCCAAGTGTTTTTTGTTCCATTTAGTCAGGTAGGTCAATGAATTCACATTGCCCAAATGAAAGACACTTCAAGTTACCCATAATCACTGATGTGTCCAATTTTGACATTAGAAAAACCTGATTAATATATTCCTTCCAATATGGAAACTTGCCCTAATAACTAAAGCTAAGATTCCAAAGCCTAAATGTATTACAGCTCAAGTATTAATTCAAATATTTATTGGTTATTTTTCAGGAGTTGAAAAAGTCATTTGGTTGCCAATTGTGGATTTGGGATTTTATCTATTAAAGGGTTTTTTTTTTTTTTCTCTTTGCTTTTGTTTCTCTACAAAGGTCATTGCCACAATGAACACAGCATTTAATCAAATTCCAGATTGGCCTTTGAACTTGGGATGATGGATAAAATGGATTTGGGCCAAAATTGAAGTCAAGGAGACCAGTTAGAATATCAAAATAATTCATATATAAGAAAATGAGACGTTGGTTTGGGGTAGAGTGGTAGGAATGAAAAAAATTATTTGTGAGCTAACACAAGGAATAATTTCCATAGGGCCTAATAATAGTTAGGTCTGATAATACTATGGTCTGATAATAGTTTTATTGTATTGTTTACTGAGAGCACAAATGATGTAACTTCCTTATTCAAGAGCTTTTCTAGTTTATTTAAAAATGTGTTGACATCAGTTAGGTTTTAATGTTTTCTATATTTGGACAGTGTGAGCAAACTAATTTGTTAAATTAAATTCAGAGAGAGATACATCTATCTGTAAATACATATATGCGTTGTTTGTGTTGCTCTTCCTACATAGGTCAGCTATAAGGCAAATAATGTTCCTGGGTTATCTCAGTTTCACATTTCCCACTGTCAATATTCCTGCTACTTTTAAGTCCCATATCCTGCTCTTTTCTTCCGTCAGTTTCCCCCAGAAGCTCCAAGACCCCACCAGGAATCCCCATCCAAGTTTACTTTCCCAACTCCTGGAAGTTTCAATTGTGCTGCCTTTGTGACATTATCATATCTTTTCTGTTCAATGGTTGCTTCTCTTTGGCTCACTGTTCTCTACTTTTCAGCCTGAGAGCTGGCTAATCTGGGACAGTACTCGAATGCAGTGTACACATGGGTAACATGGAAAACCCCGATTTTCCCTTATATTCAAGGTATTATTTGACCTTAAGAAAAACTGTTCTACATTTCATACCAATTAATGAGAAAAAAATATTGGCAAGCACTGACTGGGCAGAATACAGGGAAGCTTCACTATGGAGAAGTGAATTTGGGATTGAGGGCCTTTATTGCAATCTCCTTGTAAATAATATTTGATACTCTTCCTCATCTGGAGACACATTCCTAAGTAACTTTTCCTGAATAATTTGGTCTCCTTGACTGAATCAGTAAGTACAAATAGATCCCCAAGCATGGCTCTTTCCTAGAATGAAAGAAATGTCAAGAAGTCTGAAGATGATTCTTGAATTTTGGTTTTTTGCTATTGCTATTTGGGCTTGTTGTCCTTGTTGTTGCTATTGAGTTGAGCTCCTTATATATTCTGGTTACTAATCCCTTGTAATATGGATAGTCTGCAAATATTTTATCTCATTCAAAGATAATTATTATTTACTTTCATAGGCTGTTTTTGGTACCAAAGGTTTCTTTTTAGAAGATAAGAAAACGAAGATAGCTTCTACCAAAATCTGCAACAATAAGATACTCTGGTTGATATGTAGCGAATTTATGTCCTTATGGGCTGGATCCAACAAGAAAAATATGAATCAGGTATGTATGATAATTATAGGGCCATTTGATACCTTAAGAAATTCCAGCTTTCCTTTGACTCATTTTGATATATCTATTTACTGTATAAATTCATATGGTATTCCAAACCCTTAAAGACAGATTTTTTTTTGCTTTTAAAAATGTTTATGGGTATATAATAGTTGTACATATTTATGAGACACATATATTTTGATATAAGCATACAATGTGTAATGACCAAATCAGGGTAATTGGGATATCCATCACCTCAAGCATTTATCATTTCTTTTTGTTAGAGACATTCTAATTTGACTCTTCTAGTTATTTTGAAATATACAATGAATTATTGTTAACTATAGTCATCCTATTGTGCATGCCAGACTTTAGTCCTTCTAACGGTATTTTGGTACCCATTAACCAATGCCTCTTTATCCTTCCCCCTCCCCTACTACCTTTCCCAGCCTCTGGTAACCATCATTCTTCTCACTATCTCTATAAGGTCAGTTTTTTTTTAAACTCCCCTATATGAGTGAGAACATGCAGTATTTGTCTTTTTGTGCCTGGCTTATTTCACTTAATGTAATGTTCTCTAATTTCATCCACATTATTGCAAATGACATGATTTCATTCTTCTTATGGCTGTCTATATGTACCACATTTTATTTATCCACTCATCTGTTGATGGACACTTAGGCTGATTTCATATCTTGGTCATTGTGAATAGTGCTGTACTAAACATGGGGGTGCAGATGTCTCTTCCATGGATTGATTTCCTTTTTTTTTTTTTGAATATAGACCTAGCACTGGAATTGCTGGATCATATGGTAATTCTACTTTTAGTTTTTTGAGGATCCCTCATACTCTTCCCCATAGTTCCTGTACTAATTTACATTCCTACCAACAGTCTGTGCAAGAGTTCTCTTTTCTCCACATTCTTGTCAGCATCCATTATTGCCTATCTTTTTGATAAAAGCTATTTTAACTGGAGTGAGATAGTACTTCATTGTAGTTTTAGTTCGCATTTCTCTAATGATTAGTAATGTTGAACATTGTTTTTAATGTACCTCTTGGCTATTTGTATGTCTTCTTTTGAGAAATGTCTACTCAGATCTTTTGTCCATTTTTAAATCAGATTTTTTTTTTTTGCAATTGAGTTATATGACCTCTTTATATATTCTGGTTACTAATCCCTTGTCAGATGGGTAGTTTACAAATATTTTCTCTCATTCAACAGGTTCTTTAGTTCACTTTGTTGATGGTCTCCTTTGCTTTGCAGAAGCTTTTTAGCTTGACGTAATCTAATTTGTTCATGTTTGCTTTGGTTGCCTGTGCATTTGAGGGCTTACCTCAAATTGGCCCAGACCAATGTCCCGGAGTGCTTCTGTAATGTTTGTTTTTTAGTAGTTTCATAGTTTTAGGTCTTAAATGTGTCTTTAATCCATTTTGATTTTGTTTTTGTATCTGGCAAGAGATAGAGATCTAATTTCATTCTTCTGCATATGGATATCTAGTTTTCCCAGCATCATTTCTTGTGGAAATTGTCCTTTGCCCAATGTATGTTCTTGATGCCTTTGTTGAAAATTAGTTGACTATAAATGTGTGGGTTTATTTGTGGGTTCTTTATTCTGTTCCATTGGTCTATGTGTCTGTTTTTATGCCAGTATCATGCAGTTTTGATTATTACAGGTTTGTAGTATAATTTGAAGTCAGGTCATGTGATGCCTCCAGCTTTGTTCTTTTTTCTCAGAATCTTATATTTAGAAAAACCTAAAGACTCCAACAAAAAACCTGCTAGAACTGATAAACAAATTCATTAAATTTGCAGGATACAACATCAACATACAAAATTCAGCAGCATTTCAATATGCCAAGAGCAAATAATCTTAAAAAAAAAGAAAGAAAAAAAAAACAAGAAATAATCCCATTTATAATAGCTACAAATAAAATAAAACACCTAGGAATAAACCATACCAAAGAAGTGAAAGATTTCTACAATGAAAACTATAAAACACTGATGAAAGAAATTGAAAATGACATTAAAAAATGGAAAGGTATTCCATGTTCATGGATTGCAAGAATCAATATTGTTAAAATGTCCATATGATCCAAAACAATCTACAGATTCAATGCAATCCCTATCAAAATACCAATGACATTCTTCATTGAAATAAAAAAAAAAGCCTAAAATTTAAGTGGAACCATGAAGGTAGATGTCTGCTATACATAGAAGATTAAGTACTCAACAAACCTTGAATATGAAGACTGGGGAAGTGAATAGGCAGCTTCACTCTTCTATTCCCTGGTGAAATTTAGGAGAATGGATGTTTTATAATGGGTAGCAGTTTCTTACATGTTCTCAATCAGCCATAACTTACTACAGTCAATTTGAATTTATTGCATTTGAATATATTGGATTAAAAATAAAATCCTAAAAAAGGAGAGAAGCACATATAAACCTGCGTCTTATTTCATGTGTTCCTTTCTTTGTGGGTGACTTTTGTTTTGAAGTAAAACCTGCAAAATAACAGGACAGGGTGGAAGGGAGATGGGATCCCCTCTTTATGAAGAAGCAGCAGTCCTGTTTTATCACCTCTTCATTTTCTGTTATTGAGAATTCAAGAAGAAGGAGGAGGAAGAGTTCACATCCACAGACTGGTGTGGTTGAATAGTTGTCTCTACTGTATTCCAAATAGCAGCCAATGAGGCTGTTACAGTGAAGCCAGTCCCAAGATAATTGTTCTGTACCCCTATTCTCTAAGAAGCTAAATTGTGTTAGACTGAAACCCATAAGGAACCATTGTTCAAAGTTGGCTTGCTCAAAAGTAAAGATTTTTAATAGTTTCTCTTAATTAGATTATTTTCTAAGACATAGAATTATGATTACTATTTTATCTCTATAATTTTCATCTCTATAACGTTTACAAATACTGAAATAACCTTTGGAAAAAATTGGCTTTTAGCTTTACTTTTGCAATATTTTATTTTATCCCCATAAAAGCCTAGGAAATTGGTACTATGACTTTTAGTATGTTCATTTAATAGATGAAAACACAGAAACTCAAAGATGTTAAATATGGTGGCCAAGTTCACAAAGCTGATCATTAACAACAACAGGGCCTGAACTCCTGGTTTTCTGATTTAATCTGTGACAGTGCACCTGGGTGCGCATGCATGCATCACCCCCACACTTGCACATAGAACCTTTCCTAGTTGGCTTTGCTCCATGATGACCATTACTGTTCCTTCTACTTCAAAATAAGCAAATTATCCTACAGATTCAGAGCTGGTACAGGTGTGCTGTCAAGCAGCCCATTCCATTAGTCAGCTTGTGGTTCACTCACATTAAAGTATTGACCTAAATGGTATATTTATCTAGATAATTCTACCTTGTTATTTTCAAAGCCCCAGTCTTGTTTGCTAATTCTGTGCATCATTTTTCTCTGATTCTGAAAGGCAAAATTTTGTTGGGCAATTGCTGTAATATGAGTTTTATCTCCTTTAGAGTCGAATGGATGTGTATATGTCACATGCTCCCACTGGTTCATCAGTACACAACATTCTGCATATAAAACAGGTAGAGTCTTAGTCATGGAAAACCATTCCAATCCTTATTTTCAATATATTTAAAAAGACAGAATTGACCCTGTTAACAGGCCTACCCTAAGAATCTTAAGAGCTTGCTTCCAGTTTGTCCTTGCTGCCTTCTGTATGCCTTGATTTCCCTGGAATTTAAGAGAAAGGATGTTATGGTACAGACCAAGTAGATGACATAAATGAACACCACCTTAAATCAGAGTTTTAAAAATAGGCCCTGAACTGAAGCAAGAGGTAAACTAGGGAAGCCTCAGGAGAACTGAGACTTCTCCAGAGAGAAGTATCTGGGATTTAACTTCTTTCTAATGAGGCTTGGTTTTCCATGAACTTTTCCTTTAAACCAAGGGGGGTATTGCTCATCTTTCTGTTGAGCCCCGTTTGTCATAATTGTAAAATGGGTGGTTACATCCTTCTGGTGATCTAGGAGCCCTATTTTCGTCCTAGCATACAGCATTTTTCTAAAATTTGCTGTTAGCTTTCATGATTCTTACCCTAACTATTCTTTTTCTAAAAAACATTTGTTTCAGCTTTACCACTCTGATGAATTCAGAGCTTATGACTGGGGAAATGACGCTGATAATATGAAACATTACAATCAGGTGAGCTATTTACAGTAACCCCAGCATGCTGATTTTGATAAATTATAATAAAAAATTATTTGAGGGTGGAAAGACTCCTACCTGTCATTTGGTGGCATTTATACTGATAGAACTTTTTTTTAAAAAAATTTTAATTTTAATTTTAATTTATTTCAGAAAATTTATAAATTAAAGAAGCATATACAAAGAAACTTACATCATGTGTAATCCTTCCATCCAGAGATAACTAGATGTACTAACATTTTGGTGTATTTATTCCAATTTTCTCAGTATTATATTGCTTTTAGACAACTTTTAATCTTTCTATTTTACTTAAGCTATAGTAAGAGATAACTAATATAACTGAGGGATTTTTAAATGCATTTTTAATGGCTACATAATAGAAATTATTTCATAAAAATCTTTACAGCATAAATGAATATACACTTTTTAATACCAACAGAAAAATTAGAATTCCATATGAAAGTTGAATAAGTATTACCCAACATTGAAGACTTGGGTCGTAAGGCATCTTTCTCCATATAGCTTTATGACATAAAAATCTGTAGCCTTGTTTAGCACCGTACTTTTAATTAATCCTGTCACCATTTTTCTGTTCTCATAGCCAGGGGCTTGGCTTATAAGTATGAACTAAGCAAACTAAATTAAATTGTTTTAAGTATTTTCCCAGGCTATCATATTTTAAGCTATTTACTGGTGCAACTATAGATTATTAATAAGTTGTTTCTGAGGATCAAAACAATCAGACTAATCAATTTCTCAATAATGAATTGGCCTGTTAGAGGAATAATTCTACTAATCCTTAAAACCACTACAAGAGATAGACCATGTATATTTTATTTATTTTTAAAAATAAGTTTAAGATGTGATTTACATACAAGAACATTACTAATTTTGTGTGTCCCATTTAATAAGTTTTGACAAATATATTTATTTGTGTAACCACACCACAATCTAAATATAGGACGTTTATATCACCACTAAAAGTTTTTTTCCTGCTCCTGAGACTATTTATAGACACAAATGCGTGTATTTGCAAATGCTTAGAAAAGGTCTAGAAAAAAAAACAGTAAATGTTAAAGTGGTTATCTTCAGAGAGAAGAAAGAAGAAAAGAAGTGGATGGACATGAAACAGTAAAGGACCCTCATTTTGGACTTTACATATGTCTGTTTTCTTCCATTATTTTGAATAAACATGCTATATTTATAAATTATTTACATTTACAAGAAAATGAAACAAAATCAACACGCACATTCAAGATCATTATGGTCAAGTACTAAAGTATGTGAGAGTGTTAATGTCCTTAGAATTTGTCCACAGTTAGCTGGTCCTACTCTGCTCCAAGCCGGTCCTATTTTGTGAATTAATCTCATTTGATGCCAATTTTTATTACATTCTCTCCAAAAAACTAGTCTCAACAGTTTGCTCTCTCCTCAAGTTCACAGCATTATCTCTGCTATATCTATATTTTATTGAGTATAAGAGAATTAACCCATGTAAGCTCCATGAGGGTAGGGATTTCTCATCATTTTGTTCACCAGTGTTTTCTCATCTGGAAGAGTACATGACAATTACTGGGCTCCCAGTATCTATGTGTTGCATTAATGAAATTTCTTAACTTTAATCTACCTCAAAATGTCTCTATCTTCTTGATTCTCTCCTTCCTTTCTCTATCAGAAAATGATGGTCCTCTTATTTTCCAAGTTATTCCGGTCCTGTGCCCTTGATCCCATCTCTTCTCACTTCCCCTTCCTTCCTGCCTCCATTCTCCTGTCCCTTATGAAAAACAAGCAAGACCATCAATTCTATCAAGTTATCATTATGTCACTCTGTTCTTATCAACATATTTTTAGTATTGAAGAGGGCTTCTTCTACTTACTCCTTAACCTTGTACAATGTAGTTTAGGTCTTCATCTTTTTATCATAGCTACCTTATTTAAAGTCACCCATGGCTTTTAATTGCCAAATTCAATGGCCTATCTTCACCTTTTGAAATGTGTTATGTTCGTTACCACAGTCTCCTTGAAACTCAGTCCCCTGACTTGGACTTCCATAACACAATGATTTCTGATTTTCCTTCTGTTTGTGATTGTTCCTTTTGTCCCAGGCACTGGCTACTCCACCTTCCACCTCTCTGAAATCATTAGCATTCCCCAAGGATTCTTCAAAACTCTCTTTCTTCCTTGGAGAAGTCAGCATAGCTTTAATTTGGACCATTTCTATGGCTTATCTAGATTTTTTCAGGACTTGCCTTCAACCTATTCTTTCTGTAGGTGATTCCATTAACTGTTGCCCATATGGTAGTCCGAAGACAGACCTCCGAGAAATGACCCTTGTCTCCAAAACTTCCGCAATATGTCCAAATTTCCTAGCCTGACATTCAGACTTTGATTATCTGCCTCCAAGTTTATATCCTATCATATTCCTTTACATATTCTGTTCTCCAGGTACACTGGGAAGCTTGCCATTCCTGATCATAGCCTACAAACTCTTCCTGCCTCCCACTCACCCTCATCTCTGCTGTCAAAATGCAACCTTCCCTCAAGAGTCATTTCACAGGACCCCTCTTTCTATGAAGCCCTCAGGTGGAAATAATTTTTTGCCTTTTTTTCCATTTTATTTTTGGAGTGTTTATGGCATTTAACATACCTTACTTTGTATACAAATATTTGCCTTGCTCCCTCTTTTGCAAATTTCTTAAAGGTAGAGACCATTGTATGTTTTCTTCATATGTTGCTGGTGCCTAACAGAACTATGGCCATTGTCCACATTCATTTAGCAGCCTTTGTAGTTATTGCTTTGAGGAGCTTCCTCTCATGAATGCCCTTGCTTTCTCTCCCACAGAGTCATCCCCCTATATATGACCTGACTGCCATGAAAGTGCCTACTGCTATTTGGGCTGGTGGACATGATGTCCTCGTAACACCCCAGGATGTGGCCAGGATACTCCCTCAAATCAAGAGTCTTCATTACTTTAAGCTATTGCCAGATTGGAACCACTTTGATTTTGTCTGGGGCCTCGATGCCCCTCAACGGATGTACAGTGAAATCATAGCTTTAATGAAGGCATATTCCTAAATGCAATGCATTTACTTTTCAATTAAAAGTTGCTTCCAAGCCCATAAGGGACTTTAGAAAAAATAGTAACCAACAATGAGGTTGTCCCCCAGCACCCTGGGGGAGATGCACAGTGGAGTCTGTTTTCCAAGTCAATTGTGTTAGTGTTATTTATGTTTAGAGACATCTTTGCATGGGACCATCTACAGGTCCTTATAAACAATGAGGTAGATTAGGCAAAAAGATAAACAAGTTGCTACTCTATCTGGCATTTAAGTCTAATTAAATTGTAATTTTTAGGGCATACCATGAAGTATAGAAATGTCTGAAGCTTCAAAGGAACAGTGAAATTCCTTTAAGGTCCTATATGGAAACCTCTGTTGTCATTTTATTTATATGGATTGCTATGGCAATGGACAGAGTGTGGGATTAGGAGGAGGGCCTGTAACTTCTTTATAAAAGTTTCTTAGCTATCCTGAAGATGTATAGACATTTTTACTTTTTTAGGTATTTTCAACATCAGAAATTCAAAAAAGTCCCCAAAGATTCTTCCAGAGAAGCCCTCTTTTCTTACAATCTTATCCCTGGCTATCTGCGTAAACGGAATCTTGAACCCATAATAGGATACATGTATAAAATCTTCCTTATTAAAGCAGAAATAAATTGTACAGCATCAATATCATTTTATAATCATAGGGAGGCTTCTTTGTTTAGCATGTAATGCCCCCTTTACAGGCTTTTTGTTCTTTGAGGGGTTTGAACATTCCATGAAAAACTGACAGATAGGAAACTGACAATAAAAGATTGAGCTAAAGATGGAAGCAGAAAGTACTAGGCTAGATAGTCTCTAAACATTAAGTATTTTCTTCCTCCATCTTAAAAGCAATGAGAAGCCACCAAAATATTTTACCTAATGGAAACCTGATTGCCGCATTTTTGTAACCACCACTTTGGCTGCTACATAGAGAATGGATTAGAAGATGCCAACAAAAGATTCTGAGCAAGACTGTAAATCTGATCAAGTGTTCTGATGCAGGCTGATATCCTTCTGTGCTAAGAGAGATGATCCTTGGAAAATCCAGAGCCAGCTCCATAATACTTTCCTGCTCTGCTGGCAAATCCACAAGCTGCTGGCCCCTGGAGCCATTCTTCTCTCAAAACTAGCATTCATCAATTTAATGTATACGTATTGATGGGGAATAATGGTCACTATGAAAACCATGTGATAATATGGAAA